>NC_000006.12:6878181-7029696 GCF_000001405.40 Homo sapiens
AGGGATAGCATTAGGAGAAATACCCAATGTAAATGACGAGTTAATGGGTGCAGCAAACCAGCATGGCCCATGTATACCTATGTAACAAACCTGCACGTTGTGCATATGTACCCTAGAGCTTAAAGTATAATAATAAAAAAAAATTCATGTGATTTCTTTCAGATTTGATATGTTGTTGAATAGGATAATTATCAAATTATAACATTAAAACCTAATTCTGAGGTGGGCGGATCATTTGAGGTCAGGAGTTTGAGACCAGCCTAACCAACATGGTGAAACCCCATCTCTACTAAAAATACAAAATAATTAGCGGGGCATGGTGGTGCATGCCTGTAGTCCCAGTTACTCAGGAGGCTGAGGCAGGAAAATCGCTTGCACCCAGGAGGCGGAGGTTGCAGTGAGCCGAGATCACGCCACTGCACTGCAGCCTAGGCGACAGAGTGAGACTCCATCTCAAACAAACAAAAAAAAACTTGTTCCACTTAGAGTTACCCTTTATCTTACTTTATATTCTCTAAGGTCACTGATATCTTTCCAGTCTTCCTGAAAATACAAGCAAATACTGACACAGATGCTATTTTCTTACACAAAATATAACCAGCTATATATACTCAATGCTTTTTGCTTTTGTCTCTTCACGGCATTTTCTGGAAAGCTTGCCAGGTCTGTGCACAGACAGCAGCCCTGCTCCTTTGCCCTGCTGTGTAGTATTCATGTGTGGGATGTTCACGGATTACCCAGTCCTCTAAAGACGACACTTGGGTTGCTTCCAGGCTTCTGCTCCTACAAGAGATGCTGCCGTGAATAACTGCTCACGTACATCCTTCCATACGTGTGCAGACGCCTCTGGAGGATCAGTTCCCAGAAGCACCACCCCACCTTTTATTGCTAGCAAACTGTTAATCACCCACTGACACCCATGGCTCAGAGAGCCAGACATGAGAAGAGGCATGTCCAGAGAGGCACAGGAAATGCAGCTGCATCTGCCTTCTTTACTCAACTGTGAGCATCTTAGGAGTCTGGACCCCTTCTTATCTAACTTTGTATCCCCATGAATAACTCAATAAATAAACAAATGAACAGATGGTATTCAAACTTAGGCTTCTTTAGAAACTGAGAAAGACAACCTCTAAGCAGAGAAGGCTACTCTTTCTCTAGGTACTGATTAGTGCTTACTGCTATGAAGTTTATGTTTCTACACAATCTAAGAACTCATAACCAGAACAGGGAAGTTATTGAGAACACAGAGCAAACCCCAGCGACCCATTTTTCTAGACACAGTTCATTCCTCAACCCCATGCCTTACAGCAGATTGTCTGAAGAAAATACCTTGGCTGCCTATGCATAAACTGCATTTTGACTACTCTTAACATGGTTTCTTTTTGTGTTCTGGGACATTAATGGAAGTCATCAAATGAAAACAAAATAAGGGGAAACATATTTGGTAAAACCCTATAGTTTTGGAGAGGCAGAGTATGAGGAAAACTCTTTAGTATGGAGAGGCAGAGTATGAGGAAATGAAAGTGTAAATGGTTTGCCAAGAGGTGCAGTGACTCACGCCTGTAATCCCAGCACTTTGGGAGGCCAAGGTGGGTGGATCACTTGAGGTCAGGAGTTCGAGATCAGCCTGGCCAACATGGTGAAACCTCGTCTCTACTAAAAACACAAAAATTAGCTTGGCACGGTGACAGGCGCATGTAATCCCAACAACTGGGAAGGCTGAGGTAGAAGAATCGCTTGAACCCAGGAGGCAGAGGTTGCAGTGAGCCAAGATTGTGCCACTGCACTCCAGCCTGGGCAATAGTGTGAAAGTCTGTTTTAAGAAAAAGAAAATGTGGATGGTGCCTACATGATGATCGTCGCTAACATGTATCAAATCTTTGCTATGTATAGACCACTGTTCTATGTCTTTAAATAAATATATTCTCTCATTTAATCTGCTCCTCCAAAAACAAAAAACAAAAAAACAAAAAAACCCAGCCAAACAAAAACTACACAGTTGTTACTATTATTATTCCCAGTTTCTCAGTTTGGAAACTGAAGCACAGAAATGTTAAGAAACTTGTCTAAAGACACACAGCACTTAGCAAGTAGTGGAGTTTGGATTTGAAGCCAAGCAATGCTGTTTCTTCTCGTGTGTGTGTGTGTGTGTGTGTGTGTGTGTGTGTGTGTGTATTTACTTTCCATGGTACATTAGGTAGAAATGGGTTCATTTGTAAGTTTCAGAAAAACCCAAAAATAACTATAGCTTGTCAGAAATGCAAGTTTGTAGCCAGGCACAGTGGCTCACGCTTGTAATCCCAGCACTTTGGGAGGCCAAGGTGGGCAGATCACAAGGTCAGAAGTTTGAGACCAGCCTGGCCAACACAGTGAAACCCCGTCTCTACTAAAAATACAAAAATTAGTTGGGCATGGTGGTGTGCGCCTGTAGTCCTAGCTACTTGGGAGGCTGAAGCAGGAGAATTGCTTGAGCCTGGGAGGCAGAGGTTGCAGTGAGCTGAGATCGTGACACTGCACTCCTGCCTGGGTGACAGAGTGAGACTCCATCTCAAAAAAAAAAAAATAAAAATAAAAAGAAATGCAAGTTTATATAGCTTTCACATAAATAGTAACGGTCAGCAGTCCAGGGTTGCAATACTGGCCAAGATCGTCAGGAACCCAGGCTTCTTATCAACACAGAGCTTCTACCTCATGGCCCAAAATGGCTACTGAGCTCCAGCTACCACATCCACATTCTAGCCCGCAGCAAGTAGGAAAGAGAAATAAGGACACACCCCCTCTCTTTAATACTACTTCCCAGAAGTTGAACATGATACTTCTGCTTTTAGTCCATTAGCCGTAGCTTTCCCCTTGACCATGCCTAGATCCAAGTGAGACCGAGGAAAGAAGCCTTTGCCCTTGAAAGGTATGCTAAAATTGTGGGTTATCATTACTGATGAAGCAGTGAAGAACGGGTATTAAAGAGTAACTAGCACAGTCGGCCATACAGTAGTAGAGGAGATGCATTCACGGAACCCCAGTGTGAAAAGGCATTTTGAAGAACTCCAGTGCTTATCTGATGCTTAAGTCAATTCCACAGCATTCCTCCCTACCGATTGTCCTCCCCTCCCTACTAAAAAAAGAGAGAGGCTTGAAGCAACCCGTCTGATGTCTGGACATTGCTTCCATCAGTTGAGCTGATATCCAGTTGGTCCTATTTCATCCCCTTGAGGGCATTCACATTAACTCTCAAATCTAAGTTCTCTCAGACCTAAGAATTCAGAACTAATAATATTTGGAGACATTTATCAAGTCCCACCCCTAGACTCCTCTTCTCCAAATAACCACCCACTGTGCTCTCAAATACCCCTCCCTGTCATCCTCCCAGTGTGCTCACAGCTCTCTGAAGGTGTCCTACCTGGAATCCTGGGAGTGGGTTTACACAGAGGCAGCTTACAGCTCTCAGATAAGATGCATCTATTCACCTACATCTACAGTGGCTTCTCAGAGAGCTTTAAGACTTTTGACAGTTGCTTCACACTTTTAACTCAGAGTGTTTGACACCTACCAAAGCTACAAATCCCCCCAGTGGCCGTTTTTACTGTTGATTTGGGGCTCTGATGCAGAACCTGACATCTCCCTATCTTACCTTCTCCAGTTGATGAGGCCTCTTTATAGGCCTGAACCTATAAAGATAGTTGTAAATCCTGAGTCCATCCATCAACAAACCCTCTGTTCCTCCTACCTCCATCTGCAAGTTTGGTAATAACTCTATGACTTCATCCAGCAGAAGACTGTGAAGGGCAGGGTCACCCCTGAAATCCTCCCTCCGGGTGACATTGATTAATTAAGCAGCTGCTCTGTGGCAACAGTGAAAACTGGTTTGGATGTATGTTGCTGCCATAGTGACATCCAAGCAAGCAGCTAAGAACCCCGAGGCCTTAGCTGTTGGCAGCATTTTCTACCAGAGCTTTCCTTCCACAGGGAGAAGATTCCCAGAGCCCTTAGGAGCCAGGATCTGGCGGTTGGGAGATAGCAGTCATTCATGCATGCATGCATTCATTCATTCATTGTTCATTTGTTAAATATATATTGAGGTCTTCTAAAGCTAGATGTGCTATGTCCTGAGAATAAAGGTGAACAAGACACAGTGCCTCCCCTCAAGGAGCTTGTCAGTCTAATGGAGAGTAAAATTGCAGACAGAAGGACTCTGTGGAAAGCTCCAGACAGGTCATGTCACTCCTCTGCTCAATACTCTACAATGGCTCCCATGCTCCTCAGAGTAAAGGTCAAGGTCCTTCCCACAGCCCCGTGGGACCTGGCCACCCCATAGCATTTATCCATCCTCCTGCTCTTTTCCTCCTTTTCTCCTCTCTAGCCACACTGGCCTCATTTCTCCTGTCTTCAGGACTTTGTACCATACCTTTAGATGCCATGCCATACCATACCATACCATACCATACCATACCATACCATACCATACCATACCTCACCATACCATACCTCTAGACGCTCTTCCCCAAATAGCTAGATTGCTCACTCCCTCCCATCCTGCAAGTCTTTCCCCAAAAGAGGCCTTCTCAGGGAGGCCTTGTCTAGCCACCCCATCTAAAATGTCAACACCCCCAGTATTTCATATCCTCTTCCTGATTTATTTCTTCTTCTCAAGACATCTTCCTCTCTAATATTCTCTACCCTACCTCCTAATCTTGCTTAATTTCTATCTCTGCCCACCAGCATGCAAGCCTCCGAGAGCAGCAGGGAGCTTTGGATTATTTTGGTTTTGTTTTGTTTTTTTGTATTTAGAGCAATTAGTGACTAATACAATATATAGAAGAGGGGGGAAGAGAGGAAGGAAGGAAGGAAAGAAGGAAGGAAGCAAATGAAATTTTCAATATAACCTGGCACCATGGAAGCACACAGAAAAGCCTCCTAGCCCAGCCTTGGGAAGCCAACAGGCTTTCCTGAGAACTGTAGAATGAGTCAGAGTTGGCCAGGTAAGGAGCAGACAGAAAGGTAATTCCAGGAAGAGGAAGCAGCACACACCAATGGCCACACCTGCAGGGAGACCTAGGTGCCGTGGGAACTCGGTGGCTGGAAGCTGCATACAGCTGAACGTGGCACAGTGGCGAAAGGAGGGCGGGGGCTGAGTGGAAGAATCCTGCAGACCATGAGAAGGTGTTTAGAATCCATCAAGAGAGCAGAAGGAGGCAGCGGAGCAAGCAGCCAAGTGCCATAACCAGATTTTCCCTTTACAAAGGCCAGAGTGAGGAAAATAGATGGGAGGAGAACAAGACTGGAGGCATAGACATCAGTTAGGAAGATGTTTCACTCACTCCACTGAAAGACGCTAATGGATGAATTAGGGCAGGAGTCAGCAAATATTTTCTGTAAAGGGCCAGATAACAAATATCTGGGGCATCTTCGGCTCTGTCTTTTTAGCAAGAAAAGAAGCCATGGGCCGGAGCAGTGGCGTAGGCCTGTAATCCCAGCAATTTGGGAGGCTGTGGTGGGAGAATCACTTGAGCCCAGGAATTCGAGACCAGCCTGGGCAACAAAGCGAGGCCCCATCTCTACAAAAAAATTTGAAAACTAGCCAGATGTGGTAGTACATGCCTGTAGTCCCAGCTACTCAGGAGGCTGAGGTGGGAGGACAGCTTGAGCCCAGGAGTTCGAGGCTGCAGTGAGCTGTGGTTGTACCACTACACTCCAGCCTGGGCAACAGAGTGAGACCCTGTCTCAAAAAGAAAAGAAAACAATAAAGAAATCAGCCATGGGCTGGGCACCATGGCTCACGCCTGTAATCCCAACACCTTGGGAGGCTGTGGCAGGTGGGTCTCTTGAGCCCAGGAGTTTGAGACCAGCTTGGGAAACATGATGAGACACCATCTCTACAAAAAAACAAACAAACAAAAATTGCCAGGCATGGTGGCGCATGCCTGTAGTCCCACCTACTCAGGAAGCTGAAGTAGGAGGATCGCTTGGGACCTGGGAGATTGAGGCTACAGTGAGCCGAGATCGCACCACTGCATTCCAGTCTGGGTGACACAGAGACCCCATCTCAAAAAAGAAATCAGCCTTGGATGGTATACAAATGAATGAACATAGCCATGTTCCAATAAAACTTTATTTACAAACCAGTCAGCAGACAGATCAGGCCTAAGAGCCATAGTTTACTGACTCCTGAATTAGGGGGTAATAAAGAGAAATCCATGTATTGAAAGAATGTTTAAGAGCTACAACTAGTAGAGCTTAGTGATTAATTGGCTTTGGGAAGCAGTCAAGGAGGTACCAGTGGCTGAAACAATCAGCACCCATGCCCATGAGTAGAGGCTGACCGTGAGTCACTCGGAGAATCTCTGTATCTTCCTATTTCCAAGAAATCAGTGAAAAGTTGTGCAACTTTTTTAGTGTAATGTTAAAAAAAATTCTTCTATATGTGGGATAAAATTGTCACAATGCTTAAGAGGATACATAATAAAATCTCAATTTTCTTCTCCCTTGATCCCCGCTTCCCAGTTCCCGGGCTTGCCACCGTGCCACTTTCAACTTCATGCAGCCTCCAAGGGCACCAAGTTTCCATGGCATCCACATCTCCTCCAGGTACAGGAATTGGCTTTCTCTCTGCCTCTTACCTGGCTGACTCTGACTCGTGTGTTCCAGGGAAGAATGGCCTAAATTGCAATGAGGGAGAGAAAAGGATCCCCCTGCAGCCCTTAAGCCCAGGCGGGTCTGGGGCCTGCCTTGAATTGTAGGGATCACACCCCTCTAGGCCTGAGAGCCGCTGAACGGCCCTATTAGTGTTTTCCTGCCCGGAAATGTTTCCCTCCTCCAGCCTCCTCTGCCAGGTCTTCTACAAGGTGCCCTGTACCTTTCCTTTCACCCGACTCCTCCCCAGGTCAGATAAAGCTGGGAGCAGGAGGCTCCTCGAGCCCCACTGAGAATCAGAAAATATCAGGGGGTGCGTGTGTGTGCTGGTGGGGCTGTTGCCAAACTATGCCTGGAGGTGACAGCAGTGATGCCAGGACACGGGGGCCGATCTTGGGTCTTCACAGGGAGGGAGAAGTGCCAAATTCTCCAAAAGTGCGCATCAGGCAGTGAGGTTAAAAATAACAATAAAATAAATTCTAAAATAAATAGGCCAGGCATGGTGGCTCACACTTGTAATCCCAGCACTTTGGGAGCCTGAGGTAGGAGGATCACTTGAGCCCAGGAGTTCATGACCAGCCTAGGCAACAGAGCGACACCCCATCTTTAAAATAACATTACATTAAATTAATAAAACAGAATAAAATCAATTCAAAAAATAAACATAAATTTAAAATTAAATGAAATAAAATGCCAAGTGGCCAGCGGTGGGCCGCAGCGTGTGGGGCAGGCAGGCAGGAGAGTGGCGGGAAGAGGGACTCCTCCTTCTGAGCACAGTCTCCAGAAGTGGCTCCTTGTCAACAATTGTAAAGGTCACATGCTGACGCGACAGTTGCTGAGGCTGTGATGCAAACGCACGCAGGAAGCGTTGTGCAAGCAGGCTCTGGAGACCCGCAGGCTCCTGGGCAGAGGGCTGCCTTCTGTGTGGGCTTGCCCCTCGCCACACCTGGCCAGGAGCCTCCCCCAGCCCCGTGACCCTTGTGTCAGAGCCTGGCCAGATGACAGACGGCCTGGGGTGCAGGCGAGACCCACTGAACTGGCAGCTGAGGACAGGTCCAGGCCCAGTGGCTGGGGGACTTCTCAGAGCAGGTACCACAACAGCTACCCAAGGACTCAGGACTTTTCTCCCACAGCCAGACTTGGTGATTGCATGAAGGAGCCCAGCCTCGGATGACCTTTCCCCGTGACAAGGCACTAGGAGAGCACAGACCTCCCCACACAAACAGTAAGTCAGCATGTGGTTAAAAATGTAAATATGCACTACAGAGTTTAAAATATATCAACCGAAGGAGTAAAACCAGACTGTCTGCTTGTCTTGGATTCATTTTGTGCTGTACAAGGCTCAAAAGGAACCCAAATTCTGGCTAAAGAGGCCTTTTATGGGAGGCCCCGCCTTGACGGTGACAGGTTGAGACCTATTGCAAACCCGTGGTGGCCTCACCCACCAATTTCCTCTGCAGCTTCTTCCCCCTCCATGCTCCAGGCTGGCCAGCAAGCAGGCCGGGGGCCAGGGGCACACTAGCTCCAGGCGTGACAGCCAGATGCTTCCTGCACCACCAGGCCTGCTCCGAGGCTGCATCCCAGAAGCCACTCCAGGCAGGCAGGGTTTCTTCCCAACATCTTGGGAAACAGAACTTACACATTACCCCCAGCACACACACAGTACCTAGAACACTCTGGCTTCAATGCCACGCCCATCTCTGTCTGTGTCTACACTGTTTGGGGTTGATTGATAAGGCCCCAAATGCATTCCCACCAAGAGCTCGTTTTGCAGACTTATCATATCACACCACGCCAGGGGCACGTGCACGTTTTAGAACATGGTATCCTAGAGGTGACAGTGCCCTACCCCAGTGTTCATTCTTTATTTGTTCAAACTCCATGTGCATCCAATTGGCTTTCAGTAACACACAAGAGCTCAGGTAACAAGAAGAGAACTGTACCCGGATGATGAACTGGAACATCCACCCTCATCTTCACCTCCTCCACCCCAGGCCATGTGCTTCACAGTCACACAGGGGAGCTTCTGGAATGGACAGTGTTCCTGGTGTTGACTATAGCCGTGGGCCTCTGAGAAGCTGAAGCAGTGTTGGGCGGAGACAGCTTCAGGGTCACCAGGCCCAGCTAGAACTCCAGGCTGACCTCAGGGCAACGTCCAGCATCAAGATGAGCTCCTGGGGCATGAGGCTACGCAAGGCCTGAGACCCCACAGATGGAGGACGCTGGGCCACCTGGTGGGGCTCCTTCAGCAAGAGAGGAAAGCAGGCCAAGGCCAGAGGCAGCTGCTGTCTGAAGATGGGAGGGAGGCGTGCAGGCCTGGCTCCAGCCCACGGTGCGCAGCAAACTCCAGCCTGCTAGACGCAGATGCAATTGGAGCCAAGTGCACCTTGATACCTCCAAGATGTGACCCCTTACCAGACCCTAAACAAACCTTGTTGACAGAGCCAGACCACCCCTATTTGAATCAGCTGCGTGGCCACGTGCCTGTCATTCGGTCTCTCTGTCCCCATTTCTACAATGTAAAACAGGAAAGTGAAACCCATGGGCCAGCGGCCGCATGCAGGAAAGCTGGCACTGTCAGCCATGGCTGTGGTGACTCCCTGGGCCTTAAGCGAGCAAAGAGCCCACACACCCAAATTCAGCACCTTCTTTCCTGTTCTCCTTTGAAGGAAACACTCTTCATATAAAAAGACAGGAAAAGAAACTCGAGACTTTTTCTTCTTTTGGGAGGGTCTCCAATTTAGAATCAGCATATCAATATTCTCTCTAAACCAATGCTTCTATTAAGGCAGAGTAAATGGGAAGAGAAATTCCACGGCCTGCATCTAGCTTGTCACTGCAAAGTGATTCACACAAACACACACTCACACTTTCACACACACGTGCACCTCTGATTGAAGCATTGCTGCTGAACTGATGAGACACCACTATGTAACCTCTGTTTTTCAATTAAGTGCAAAAAGCCAATTCTTAATCTATGCCATAAACTTAAGTACAAGTGTAGTTGAAAGCAATGATGCCACAAAAGACCAGGTCACAGACTGACTGGGGGCTGCGCTCAACTTGTAAGCCTCTTGCCTCACTCCTCTGGCAGCTACAAGTGCTAGAAAATGTCAAATCTGCATTATTCACTTGTTAATACTGACTAAGCAGTCAAATATACTGCCACACTGTGTGACACTCCAAAAGCCACAAGGATGTACTCACCCTTAGAGCATTAACATAAAACTTAATTAAGAACGCCTTGGGGCCGGGTGTGGTGGCTCACACCTGTAATCCCAGCACTTTGGGAGGCTGAGGCTGGCAGATTATGAGGTCAGGAGATGGAGACCATCCTGGCTAACACGGTGAAACCCCATCTCTACTAAAAATACAAAAAAAATTAGCCAGGAGTGGTGGCACATGCCTGTAGTCCCAGCTACTCGGGAGGCTGAGGCAGGAGAATGGCATGAACCTGGGAGGCGGAGCTTACAGTGAGTCGAGATCACACCACTGCACCCCAGCCTGGGTGACACAGCGAGACTCCATCTCCAAAAAAAACAAAAACAAAAACAAACCTTGGCCAGGCATGGTGGCTCACGCCTGTAATCCCAGCACGTTAGGAGGCCGAGGCAGGCGGATCACGAGGTCAGGAGTTCGAGACCAGCCTGGTAAACATGGTGAAACTGCATCTCTACTAAAAATACAACAACAACAAAAAATTAGCTGGACATGGTGGTGGGTGTCTGTAATCCCAGCTACTCGGGAGGTTGAGGCAGGAGAATCATTTGAACCCAGGAGGTGGATGTTGCAGTGAGCCTAGATCACACCATTGCACTCCAGCCTGGGAGACAGGGCGAGACTCCGTCTCAAAAAAAAAAAAAGAATGCATTAAAAGCAAGAAAATTTTGACACATGCTACAACATGGATGGACCTTGAGAACATTATGCTAAGATAAGCCAGACACAAAAGGACAGATACTGAATGATTCTGCTTACAGGGGATACCTAGAGTCACCACATTCGTAGAAACAAAGTAGAAGTGTGGTCATCAGGGGCTGGAAGGAGAAGGGAAAAGGGACTTGGTGTTCAATTGGCACAAAGCTCCAGTCTTGCAAAATGAAAAGAGTTCTGGAGATGGATGGTGGTGGTGGTAGCAAGACCATGTGAACGTGCTTAATGCTGCTAAACTGCCAGTGCTCATGCCTGCAGTCCCAGCAACTGGGGAGGCTGAGGTGGGAGGATCACTTAAGTGCAGGAGGCCAAGGCTGCAGTGAGCTGTGAGCGTGCCACTGCACTTGAGCCAGTAAGACTCTGTCTCTAAAAAAAACAAACTGCTACACTGTACACTTAAAAATGGTTAAGATAGTAAGTGGGGTTTTTTTAAATTTTATTTTTGAGAAGGAGTGTCACCCAGGCTGGAATGCAGTGGCGCAATCTTGGCTCACTGCAACCTCCGCCTCCCAGGTTCAAGGGGTTCTCCTGCCTCAGCCTCCCAAGTAGCTGGGATTACAGGCATGCGCCACCACACCCAGCTAATTTTTGTATTTTTAGTAGCGACAGGGTTTCGCCATGTTGGCCAGGCTGGTCTCGAACTCCTGACCTCAGGTGATCCACCCGCCTCGGCCTCCCAAAGTGCTGGGATTACAGGTGTGAGACACTGCGCCCGGCCAGTAAGTTTTACGTTATATGCACTTTACCATAGTTTTTAAAAGAGAAAATAAATTAGAACAATAATCCCATAAAGTTAAAAGAGGTCAGTAGCGCAGCATGGACCAGGAGATCCTGGGAGTTGTGAAAGTCAGGGAAAGCTCCCTGGAAGAAGGGGAGCTCATGTGGTTGTCCACATCCCCCATCATAAGCCAAGAAGAACTGCCTACCAAAGTGTGAAGGCTGTCCTTAAACCCAATGATGTCTATGGTAATGGAGGGCCAGGCCTCAACTATCAAGGAAGCTGCATCACCAACGTTTGTCCATCACCAAGGCATAGCATGGTATGGCCAGCGTGATCACATGACCCATATTCTGAGACCAGACTGAGAGTGAAGGGCACTGTTGATAATTACAGTGGACAACAGCATATGGTCTCCTGGGGTATAGCAGGAACAGCCCAGGCTTGGGACTCAGGCAGACCTGGTTTCGAATCCTAGCTTAGGCACATACTTGGGCACATTGCTTTCTGCCTCAGAGCCTCAGTTTCCCCTCCTGTAACGTTTCTATCTCGTGAGGTTATTGTGAGTAACAAAAATAAGATGAGAAAAACTTCCAGTCCAGGGCCTGAGAAGTCCTAAATATTACAAGCCTGTAATCTCTTATCTGCAATTCTGGGAAACTAGGGTTCAGAGAGAGGAAAATTGAGGTTTTTATTGTGCACCCTGTTATCTATTATGAATTTCTTACCCTACTTATAAATTTTTTAAGATTAAACCAAAAGTGCCCCCCACCCGACAAGGAAGCACAGCCACAGGAGTCTCTAAGTTACCCTGGGAGAGCTGGGTCCTGTCCCACTGCTAATGCAATTCACACAGGCAGGTCCAGGGGCTTCTCCCAGTTTCAGGCTCCTCGTGTGTACCACAGACGTGCCTTCAGAGATTCCAGCTACAGATCAGTTGGGAAAACAGTGCCCAGCCTAGGTCTTCAGCAGAGGGGATGGAACATGGGGAACTGGTTGCAAAGACGTTGGAGTTGCTGAAAAGTCAAACAGGGGCAGTGAGGCAACCCAGAAAGAAATAACAGGAAGAAGTTTAGAAGTTTCTACCCACTCTGGGCTTGGAAAGGGGATGTTATCTGAACCTGAATCCTGCACTATCTGGTAGGAATTGGAAGGATGGAGGGAAGGGCCACCCAGCCACAGAGGACCAGTGCCAAGGACCCTGACCAGGCTGCAGAGAGACAGAGAAACGCCCTGAATCTCCCGTCCGCTAGCCCTTCGGTTTATCTTCACTGACTCCCTGGGTGGAGGCCAGCCAGAAGCCAGGAGCAAGGGGACCTGGGAAATGTAGTTCTCAGAAGACAGAGCCCTGCAGTCCAAAGCAGAGCAGGGCAATCCAGGAAAACGACCACCACAGTGCAGCCACAGCAGCTGGGGTCGTCCCCCACTCAGAAGGGATCTTTCCACTTTTGTTTGGCATTTCTGCTTCCCTGGTATTTCCATTTTAGATGCCCCATATGCAAACTAATTAAATTCAAAGTTTCATAGAAGAGAAACTTTTTAATTAGCCTGGAAATCTCACACTTGGGGCCTGTCCATCACTTCTGAATCCCCCAAGCAGATTTGCGTCCTCTGACTCCCCTCGCCAGACTGAGCATCTCACAGCCAACACCTGCTCTGCAAGGCAGGCTGTGCTAGGCAGGTGTGCCATGCTGGGGACACAGAGAGAGCTGGATTCCACCTGGCTGCTGGGGGAGGAGGCAGCGGCACAACAGGTTCCCACATCACCTGGAGAGCAGGCGCATTACTTCCTCCAGCAGGGCTGGGCTTCCAGGTACAAGAGACCAGAGGTCACTGTGGTCCAATGGGCTGAGCCGTAGATTAGGAACTCAATTGTTCTTTGTTTAAATCCAGCTGAGACACCCAACCTTGCGTGACCTTGAGCCAAACACAACTCTTAGGATGTAACCTGCTTTACAAGATGAGAAAGACACGAGTAAAAACATCAGCAGACTCTGGAAGGTAAATGAACAATCCTGATAACACCCAGCCCTTCCCCCGAGGCGGGCTTTTAAGCATGATCTTGCTTGTCCTTGAAATCATCCCTGTGAAGGCAGGGAGAGGGAGGACCATTATCTCCATCTTACAGAGAGAGAAACCAGGCACTGAAAATAGACAGCAACCCACACAGCGGGTCATGCTGGCATTAGACTCAAGGCCACATGAGTGTTGGCCCTGACCTGTTTCTTCTGCCCCATGGAGGACCAGTTATTTCCTTAGCCCAGGGGCCCCAGTGACTGAAGGAAGGTCTGGAGGGAGACACTGTTTTTAGGTCTAAAAAGGGGAGAGGAAACAAGAGAGAAGAAGAAGGAGCAAAAGAAAAAGGGAAGGAGGGAAAGCAGAGATAAAGATGGGACCTGGAAGGGGCAGGGTAGACACTAACAGGTTGCCAGGACTCTTAATGACAGCACATGTGAGAACCTGGCTTGGCAAGCTCGGTTTTACCAGCCTTAAAGGCTTCCATGCCCTTCCATCATCACCCAGCATTACTGGAAATTCACTAGGGTTATACATTCAGAAGAATACACAGCCACTCCCCTTCATTTCTGAGCAGGGGTAGCTCCCATATCCGCCAGCCTTTTTCCTCCCCTCAGGGCCCGGTTTACGACACTTCAAGTTTTGTTCTCTGTTGTCAGGTGCTGTTGTGTAAGGTGGGAGAACAGATACTCCTGTGGGTGTGCTTGAGCTGAAACACATTTATCTAAATCTGAGCAGCAGGTGCTTTCACACACAGGAAGAGTGGTATCTGGTACCTTCCTGTAGGGCTGCGAGGGTCCTTCCCTTTCTGCCCACAGCAGCAGATCTGGGCCCACGTTGAAGACAAGCCCTCACTGCACTTGGGCAGCTATAATTTACCAGGCACGTCAAGGGTTGGGAAAGCTGTGACTAACAAGTCTAGCTTGTGCAAGACTCATCCTCTTACCTCTCTCTCACCATCACATCCCCAGCCCCACTAAAGAGTAGGATTCTGGCTGAGTCTTTGGCTAAGATGACAAATGGCAGCCCCTCTTGTTGAGACATCCTAACTCACACCGCTGGATCCGGAAGATGCACACAAACTCCACTTTTGCTAGCTTGCAGCCCCAAGGGTGTTCCAGAAAGTAGACCTTTATAACAGAACAGCTTCCTGGACTACAGGCATTGCTGTATCACTGCATCCAGGCCATAATTCTGATTGCCCCCTGTAAACCGGGAAACTCACTCCTCAGGATGCCCACCTTGCTGTTTGCCATCATGGAAATGCACTGAAGTGGCTCACCTACATTGTTACAGATAAACCACGGGCCACAGTTGCAGCACTCTTCTCAGGGTGTGGAGGGGAAATGACATCTATTCTTTGATTAATGTTGTCTCTCTCTGTCCCCAGAGTCAGTAAACAAACAAGCTGTCCTTGGAGCAAGCAAGCGCTTCCCTTTCGGCATCTCCCCCTCTCTGAGCGGCAGCCCTGCAAGTGAGGCCAATAGCCGTCCCTCAGCTGTGTACAGGACAGGCATTCTTGGACCTCAGAGTCCTGCAGTAGCATTTTGAGGACGCCAAGTTATTGATGGGGACAGGTGCTCATAATTCAGCATAACCCACCCAAGCCGTGTTTCACTTTTTCTGGAAACCTCTTGATTTAGGAATGAAAGCCCCTGGCTCCCCCTGGGCTGGGCTGGCCAGTAAACATCTCAGTCTGAGTTTGCCGAGGTGGGTTGCTAAATTTAATTGCCAGTTTCCACACCATGTGATGGTGTGTGACAGGCCAGCTCACCCTGTGAGTTAGCCAAGGGGTTTTAAATAAATGCTTTCTGACGGAAAGGATGATAAAGGTTCCTATTATTCACCAGTGAGCCTGGAGACTGAGCTGGTCCGGTTTTTACGACTGAGGCACAGCAATGTCAATCTCATGCTCTCTGTCACTACTTCCCACTGTGGCTTGACTAGGACAGCCTTAAGCGGCCTGCAGAAAGAGCTCCAGCCGGGTAGTCAGGAGACCTTTGCCAGCCCGATCCGTCCAAGGTTTCTGTGACCTTGGAAGGCAAATAGCTCTATGGGCCAGCGTCAGCCTCTGCGTCTGCAGAGAGGAGTGCTTCACAGGTCATGCTTGGGGCTTTCAGGAAGCATGTAATAGATATGCAAAGGCATTGCTGTTGGTGAAACATCCGTGGAACACCAGGCAACAAACCACTAAAAGCAGCATTTTTCTTGCTCCGATCCTTTAAAATATCGATGGAGATAAACTGATGCTGCTATTTGTGTTTTCCTTGACTATTTCCTTACGAAGCCCTGCAGTCACCGAATGCTCACTCAACCTTCCTTCAAAAGTGATTCAACGTGTGGCCTGAGAAGCGGCAGCATCAGCCTCACCTGGGCGTTGGTGAGAACGGCAGCATCTTGGCCTCTCCTGCTGAATCAGAGCGCGCTGCTTAACACGCTCCCGGGTGACTCGTACGTAGTCAGTGCTGGGAAGCGCTGGTCTACAGTCATGTTTCTCAAGCTTGAATGCACATCCGAATCCCCCGGAAGGTTTGCTAAAGCCTTGCTGGGCCCCACCCCCACGTTTCTGATTCAGCAGGTGTGGGTCGGGGTCTGCGAACTTGCATTTTTAGAAAGTTTTCTGGTGATGGTGATGCCTCTGGTCCAGGACCACACTTTGAGAACTTCTGGTCTTTCTTGAGCAGCTGTTTAGTGATACCTTCATTCCCACGTCACTAAGGGTGCATAACGTCTCTTCGTTATGTACTCTGGCTTCCTCAATCCCTGGAATTACTGTGGTATCCTCGTGATATATCTTCATTTCTTCCTCTTTAATCATCCTTGATCTCCCCCTTGATTTCAATATGTGTTTATCTCTCTTTCATTAGGAAGCTCTAGACACAGAAAACCAGACAGCTCGGTGCTGTGCAAAAATGGGAGGATTTCATGAAAATCCTACTTTTTTCTCCCATGTAGTTGTTTTAAAATTCCACTTGTTTTTTGTTTGTTTGTTTGAGATGGAGTCTCTCTCTGTCGCCCAGGCTGGAGTGCAGTGGCGCACTCTCCGCTCACTGCAACCTCCACATCCCGGGTTCAAGCAACTCCCCTGCCTCAGCTTCCTGAGTAGCTGGGATTACAAGCGCCCGCCACACGCCCAGCTAATTTTTGCATTTTTAGTAGAGATGGAGTTTTGCCATGTTGGCCAGGCTGATCTCAAACTCCTGACCTCGGGTGATCCACCCACCTTGGCCTCCGAAAATACTGGGATTCTAGGCGTGAGCCACTGCGCCCAGCCCAAATTCCACTTGTTTCTTTTTTTCAGCCAGAGTTATACACTGCTGGCCCATAAGGAACTTGTTACGATGTGACTACTACAGAATAACCAAATCGATTTGCTGCAGTACAATTTTTTTTATTTTTAAACCGCACAAGCAATATAGTGACACATTGGATTAAAGCAATCAACACTGGGCCGGGCACAGTGACTCACGCCTATAATCCCAGCACTTTGAGACACCGAGGCGGGTGGTTCGCATGAGCCCAGGAGTTTGAGACCAGCCTGGGCAACATGGAAAAACCCCATCTCTACAATAAAATACAAAAATTAGCCTGGTGTGGTGGCGTGCACCTGTGGTCTCAGCTACTCGGGAGGTTGAGGCTGGAGGATTGCTTAAACCCGTGAGGCGGAAGTTGCAGTGAACTGAATTTGCACCACTGCACTCCAGCCTAGGTGACAGAGCAAGACCCTGTCTCCAGAAAAAAAATAAACACTGAAGAATAATGAACTAAACCTTTATGCCCCACACCCCCCCCATCTCCTAGTCCACGCTCCTCCTCAGAGTTAATAAACATTGGCAGCTAGGTGTGTGTCTTCCATGCCTTTCTATATGCATATATATACCTACACATTTACATGCAGAAATATGTTTTGGATTTAAAAAAAATTACAAGTACTGTTAATAAAACTTCCTTTTATTAATAAACAATATTTTTCAGAGATGATTTCAAATCAATAAATAGACTACATTCTTTTTAAGGCTGCATGGCAGCCAGGTACAGTGGCTCAGTGCCTTGGGAGGCTGGGGCTGGAGGATTGACGCCAGGAGTTTGAGACCAGCCTGGTCAACATAGAGAGACCCTATCTTTACAAAAAATAAAAAAAATTTACCAGGTATGGTTGTGCATGCCTACAGTCCCAGCTACTCACGAGGCTAAGACGGGAGGATTGCTTGAGCCTAGGGGTTTGAGGTTGCAGTGAGCCATGACCACACCACTGCACTCCAGCATGGGCAACAGAGTGGGAACTTGTGTCTAAAAATAATAATAATAATAATAAATACATACATTTTTTAAAAATGCCTGTCACAGGAAATGTAAGGAGAAAAGAGAAAAGGCTGTATGGCTATATTTTAAGTTATGGACATACTACAATTTATTTAGCCATTCCCCTGTTGATGGCCACTTACATTATTGCCAATAGTTTACCATTACCAACAATATTAAATTAGCACTGTCACGAGATTCAGCTAAGAAGTTGGCCTCCAAAAAGTCTGTATCAATTTACATTACTGCCCCTCACAATGAACATGCTTATTTTACATGGAATCAACACAAATGCCCATCAATGACAGATTGGATAAAGAAAAGGTGATACACATACACCATGGAATACTATGCAGCCATGAAAAGAATGAGATCATGTATTTTGCGGGAACACGGATGGAGCTGGAGGCTGTTATCCTCAGCAAACTAATGCAGGATCAGAAAACCAAATACTGCATGTTCTCACTTATAAATGGGAGCCAAATGATAAGAACTTATGAACACACAGAAGGAAACAACAGACAATGGGGTCTCCTTGATGGGGGAGAGTAAGAGGAGGGAGAGAAGCAGAAAAGATAACTATGGGATACTGGGCTTAATACCCAGGTGATGAAATCATCTATACAACAAACATTCCTGACATTTGTTTACTATGTAACAAACCCTCACATGTACCCCAGAACCTAAAATAAAAGTTTAAAAAATTAAATTAAACAACAAAAAAAGAAAGTGCTTATTTTAACCTTCTCACCAATACTGGCAATTACCAGTCTTTCACGTCTTTACCAATATATTGAGGCTATCTCATTCTCTAAACTTGGTTTTATCTGAAGACTGCTTGAGGTTAAACATTTCTCCATAAGATTATCAGCCATTTTATTTCCCTTTCTCTAATTACTCATTCAGATCCTCTGTCCTTTCTCTATTGGCTTGTTGGTTTTTTCTGTTTTTTTTTTGTTTGTTTGTTTTTGGTTTTCTTTTGCAGTAGGGAACACAGGAGCAATAGTCTGGGTATTAATCTTTGGTCTATTAAAAAAAAAGTCATAAAGTTTTATCCAAGTCTCTCACTTGACTTTTAATAGCATGCTTTATTTTATCTTTTGTTGTATAAAACTTCTAGTTTTCATATAGTCCATAATACGATTTCAGTTGAATTCATGCATTGCTAGAAATCACCTTCTAGAAATCTGCATTATATGGAGGAGAAACAGTCTCTTGGATGTGAATGAAAAGAACTTAATAGAGGAAGTTGTAAATAAAACTTAGTAGGGAAATAATGAATTAATTCAGGCCCACATTCCCTTTTCTTCTTTCTAGCTCCTGTATCTTTTGGCATGAAGTTTTGGTTTGGTAGGAGGTTTATAAAAATAAGTGCGCTGGTTTAGGTGATTTAAAGATTTGTATGGAAGAGTTGAAATGAAGTCAAAGGTGGCTGCTAACAGGAGGCAGGAGTCTCTCTTCTTTCTGATTCTCTTGCATGCAGAAGCACTAACTCTGCTCCAAACTTTGCAAGGATGTTTGCATAGAGAACGGCCTTTGAAGACAGAGATAGTGCTTTCCTCTGGAGCAAAGGGCTGGTTTGTTTGCTGTCCAGTATAATAAAGATAATGTCTTCCCCAGGCAAAGGTTGGCAGGTTTACTTACCGCCCTTAATAAAAGATTGGGGTTTCCTAAACTCAGGGCTCCTCTCCTGTAACACACCCTGTATGTGGAATTGACACCTGGCCCTGCTTGCCTGCCCTGTGAAACTGGGGTTTGGGGAACCAGCACAAGAAAATGGTGGTACTCAGGCTACTGCTATTGCTGTGAGTAGTAAACTGTCCTTTATCTCTAAACCAGGAGTCTTGTGTCTTCTGCCAGCATCTTGAAACTGTGGCAGGCTCACTTGCTAACTTTGAAAATAGGGTAAAATCTCAGAACCTTCACAGTTCCTGACAGTCACCACATAATGGAAGGTTAAAACACTTAAACTCTGCTCTTGTTCCAGTCAAATTTAACCCTCTGCCTACAATACAAAAGTCACATTCTTCTCTTAAACTGAACAGTCCTTAAATGGTTAGGGAAAAGAGAAATTCACTGTAAGAATTTTTTATATCTTGTATATAATTCCTGCAAGTCTAATATTTCAAAAGGTGTTCATGTGGGTGAAGTAGATTTACTCTGTTCATTTCTCTGGAGAAATGAACTTACAGACTGAAAATTTTCAGCTCAATAAATAAAGAAAAACGAATTTTAACAATTAGAGTTATCCCAAAGAGAATAAAGTTTGAGGTCACAAGCTCACTGCTGGCCTAGGTGACCACTAGGTCCCATAGGACTTCTAATGGGGCAGGGATTAGACTGGATGATTACAAAGCTCTCTTCAAATGGAAGATGCTAGTGGGGAGGGTGTTGTTTCAGTGGACGCTCTAATCAGATGTCTTCTCATACCACATAATGAAGCAGGCGAGCTGGTGGATTCAACTGGGACTCAGAAGACTGCACTTGAGGAGATCATCGTGAGTTGAAGATCTCTTGCTTAGTCTCGCAGAAACTTCATCAAGTCTAGCTCACCTGGGAGTCAGTTGGTGCCGGCGAATCAATTCGTGCCAGTGAAATTCACCAAGAGCCTGATTTACAAACTAGAGAGCCATGGCCTTAATTTTAGAGCAAAAGACAAACTTTTCCAATGAATATAGTTTTCTTGTCCAATAGCTAGGACACCCCCCTCCACCTGCTGTGTACTAATGAAGCAGATTTTTTTTTTTGAGTTTTGCTCTTGTTGCCCGGCTGGAGTGCAATGACACCATCTTGGCTCACCACAACCTCCACCTCCGGTTTCAAGTGATTCTCCTGCCTCAGCCTCCCAAGTAGCTGGGATTACAGGCATGTGCCACCATGCCTGGCTAATTTTGTATTTTTAGTAGAGACGGGGTTTCTCCATGTTGGCCAGACAGGTCTCGAACTCCCAACCTCAGGTGATCCACCCGCTTTGGCCACCCAAAGTACTGGGATTACAGGCGTGAGCCACAGCGCCCGGCCAATGAAGCAGAATTTTTAGCCAGATGTGTGTGATACACCAAACCAAAGTGAAAGGAATTGAATGACCCTGGAACTTGCTTCATCTGATAGGATGCATTAGATAGAGGCTGATAGAATATCTCTTCCCAGATGGTGAATAAACTTTTTCTAGTGACCAACATGTTTATGTTCGCTAAACACAATGTCTTTCTGCTTTGACAGTGCTGGAAGTAACTATTCTTAACTTCGTCCGCTCTTTTGGCACCCCCGGAGGCTCAGGCCCCTGCTCTTTGCCCATAGTGACAAGATGATGCATTATTTGTGGTTAATCCCATTTAAGAAGGGCTGCTTCCTAAAGGTATCTAAGAAAAGACCTTAATTTCCTTAGTCCTAGAAGTGTGCGAAGCACCCAGTGGCTTAGTTTCTAGTCCCAGCTCTGCCACATCCTAGCTGGTGTCCTTGTACAGAATTACTTCACTTCTACAAGCCTCAGTTTCTTCATTTGTAACCTACTTACTTCTGGTTAAAGGTTGATCATCATGTAGATAAAAAATACAAGGCCAGGTGCGGTAGCTCACGCCTGTAATCCCAGCTCTTGGGGAGGCCAAGGTGTGCAGATCACAAGGTTAGGAGTTCGAGATCACCCTGGCCAATATGGTGAAACACCATCTCTACTAAAAATACAAAAATTAGCCTGGTGTGGTGGCTGGTGCCTGTAGTTTCAGCTACTCAGGAGTCTGAAGCAGGAGAATCGCTTGAACCCAGGAGGCAGAGGTTGCAGTGAGCTGAGATCGCCCCACCGCACTCCAGCCTGGGTGACAGTGCGAGACTCCATCTCAAAACAATCAAACAAACAAACATATATATATATATATATATATATATATGGGTCGGGCACTGTAGCTCATACCTGTAATCCCAGCTCTTTGGGAGGCCAAGGTGGGTGGATCCCTTGAGCCCAGGAGTTCAAGACCAGCCTGGCCAAACCCCATCCCTACAAAAAATACAAAAATTAACCCAGCGTGGTGGTGTGTGCCTGTGGTCCCAGCTACTTGAGAAGTTGAGGTGAGAGAATCACTAGAGCCTGGGAGGTTGAGGCTGTAGTGAGCTGTGTTCATGCCACTGCACTCCAGCCTGGGCAACAGAATGAAACCCTGTTTCAAAAAAAAATACTTTATAGCAACAGAAGGGAACCCTCATGGAAACTATGGACTTTGGGTGATAATGACAAATCTGTGTAGATTCATTGATTGTAAGAAATGTGCCATTCTGGTGAGGGTTGTTGATAAGGGGTGCGGGGCAGGGGCAGGGGGCAGTAAGCGGGGGCAGGGAACTCTCTCTTCCTTCCTCTTAATTCTTCTGTGAACTTAAAATTGCTCTTAAAAATTAAGTCTTTAATAGAAATAAACACATAATAAACTCTAAAAATACTAAGATCTGAATGTCGAAAAAATTTGTAATTGTTCTAATAACCATAGATAACAACAGCACATAGACCACATTACAATCGGCGGTTTTCCCGCATGCAGCTCGTCCCATTCGTAGTGTGAAAGTCTCATTAGCTTCGATTTTAAGCAGTGCGTTTTTTTTAATCTTCCCCTACGTTCTGGTTCCCATCTTATTTTTGAGGCCCATAGCTGTCTAAGTCATGGTATGTGCAGAGAGAGATTTTTTCCTGCTGATTGTATGAAAAATTGTGCAAAAGGGGTTGTCATCTAAAAAAGCGTGTGACACTGGGAGAGACCTTGTATAGTGAGCAGGGCTTCCCATGAGTTCATCCTGGATCTTTCACTGAGAACAGGATGTTTTGTCAAGGATGGGCAAAGAGGGGCACAGCAGAAAGACAAAAGGATGTGCCAGCTACAAAAACCACGTGGGCCAAGGACAGGGGGCTGCAATGCAAAGACTGGAACTTGCAGCACGGCAAACTAGAGCGTGGCAAGATTAGCGTTTCAGACTCCAGACAAGGCCACTTCCCTCTCCAGGAAAGACGATCTCCTCACCAACACAAGCGCTTGGCGCTTCCCTTTTCCGTCCAGGCGTCCTGGCTGGAACGAGGAAACTCAAAAGTGCTACGAAAGAACAAAAGTGGCCCAAATTCTGAAAATTCTTAAAATTAAAAGATTGTAACTCAAAGGAAGATAAAGAGCATGACTTTTAATTTCTCCAAGCTACTTCATTCATTTTCAGTGCCAAAAACCCAATGCCAGTCTTACATAGTAATCCACTTACTGTAGTTGAAACCTGAGGTGTGAAAAGTTCCGTGTTGACAAAGATTTGCATCAGCTGCTGCCGCTAAACAACATGTAAAAACTTGCAGTTTAATTTTAGCTTCAGAACAAATAAGCGCTTTTCCAAACCCACCCAGGAGCGCAGGCTGTCACTAGGTCTACAGGTGTGCTCTGAAATCAGACACTATCAAGAAATTCTATCGTGCTAAAATGAACAAGGAGCCGGGACGGCACAATCCATCATTTTTTAATGTGTTTTGGGAACTGTCTTAACAAGTGTGGAAGTGTCCCAGCGAGATGTTGTATTCAGCTTCCACTGTGCATATATTAAGCCAGCGTGCGTGTGTGTGCATGCACACATGTTCGTGTCTGCATTCTATATTAGAAGGTCTCAGGAAAAGAGTGATAAATAAGATGAAGCGGTAAGAGGGCACCAAAGACCATAATTAAAGGCGCTTGAGAGCAGTTAGCTGGCCTTAGCTTACTCCTTCAACCAGCCCCATTTATTTTGCTGCTCCGGTGTAGCAGATACTGTGCAGGGCCCCGGCAGAGACACAGGGGTCACGGAGATACAAGCCACTCTCGGGGAACCCCCAGTCTAATTAACATACAAATAGCAGTGACACCCGGCAGAAGCGCTACAAGGCAGGGCAGGCTACAAGGCAGGGCAGGTGAAGTGCTTTGGTGGCTCTGGGTGACAGTTATTGCCACATATCATCTTCCAGGAGTCCTGGGGCCATCTGAAAAAAAAAGAGATTTGATGAACTAGTTTTTCTTCCAGGGGTGAAAGTTGTTCAGTTTCTTGTGGCAAAGAAATATAAAATGAATGGAAAAAAGAAGAGGTTATATGGGTGAATTATTAAATGTAAGGAGTGGAAAGATATTACATCTGTGTAAGGAACACACAAAGATTTTTCTAATTTTTAGTCATAACATTTATAATGACAAATTACACACTAGCCTTGTGAATCCTATGTGTAACACATAAGGCAGGAATAGGCCCCAGTGTTTTGGGTTTTTTTTTTTTTTTAATAGAAGCAGGGTCTCACTATGTTGGCCAGGCTAGACTCTAACTCCTAAGCTCAAGTGATCCTCCTGCCTCAGCCTCCTTCGGAGTAGGGACTACAGGCACACACTACCACCAACCTCACTCTGTCACCCAGGTTGGAGAAAGTGACGCTATCACAGCTCAACATAGCCTCAACACCCCAGGCTCAAGTGATCCTCCCACCTCAGCCTTCTGAATAGCTGGGACAACAGGTGTGCACCGTCATCCTGAGCTACATTTTTTACTTTTGTAAAGATGGAGTCTTACTATGTTGCCCAGGCTGATCTCCAACCCCTGGGCTCAAGTGATCCTCCCACCTCTGCCTCCCAAAGTTCTGGGATTACAGGTGTGAGCCACCATGTCCAGTCTACACCAGTGTTTCCTTTTCCACTGATTTTGGACGCAAATGCTGCCTTCCTAAGAGATGGGTCACCTAAGTCACTCCTTGTCTAGTTCATTCACAACTTCATGCTGATGTCTGCAGATAAAAACCCACATATTGGACTTCCAGTTAACAAGTCACCTCCTCCGTGAAGCTACCCTGAATTTAATTCATTCTTCTAGTTGATTGAGTGCCTACTTTGTGCCCAGGACCATGTTAGAGAGTGGTTGGTGGTCAGGGTTAAATGAGACAACATCCAGCTCACACCGAGATGCTGGCCCACTCTGCCTTATCCCTGTGTTCTCACTAGCCTCTTCTCTGAGGGTTGAGTTGCTTGTTCAAATCCCCTGATAACCTGTAAAGTCCTTAGGCAGAGACGATAGCTTTTATTTTTGCGTTCCCAAAGCCTGGCACATTCTAACTGGGAGGAGAAGCAGCTCACCTCACAGACAGTTCTCACTGACTCAAGCTCTTTACAATATTTATAAGTATAGGTTGCATGTTGTATGTGCATACACAAAAAGTTTGGCCCATATATATATATTTTTTTTTTCTTTTTTTTTGAGGTGGAGTCTCACTCTGTCACCCAGGCTGGAGTGCAGTGGTGTGATCTCGGCTCACTGTAACCTCCGCCTCCCATGTTCAAGCAATTCTCTTGTATTACTTTTCAAAAAATTATTTTTGAATTAGTATTAATATTTCTTCATTTATTTCTGTGCATGAATGTATTTAAATCTTCCCACTCATCATTAAACGGTGCAATGGCAATTTTAAACGCAAATTATTGGAACATTCAGGTGGCATGCAGAACAACCACAAGCGTACAATTCATATTTTGTAGCTCATATACGTATACATTTTGTTCTTTCCCAAATGGCGGAAACACTCCATAAAATTAGCCAAACTTTTTGTTTCACCTCTTGATATGTGCACATTTCACCAACACTACCTTCAGCTTACTGAGGTGTAAGGAAAAACAAAAGAAAGGGAATGATAAGTTCCTATCTTTTCCTTGTCTTCTATGTCATTATTTTCAGCATAACTGGTTGGCTAATACAGGAAAAAAAGTAACATGCGTGAGAAAGGACACGGTAGCCTTCCTTGGTCGTTGATGTTTATTAGAATGCTGTTGCCTTCTTTGTGCATTTGAAGCAAGTCCTGGTTCTAATGGAAAGTATAGCCACTCTCCTCCCTCCCTACTTGCTTTCTTCTTACTCTCCCTTCCCTATGATTCAACTGTGGACTTCACGTCTTACCTTGTGCTTGCTTTGAGCCCTAGTGCTCTCACTGACTCCCATGTATCATGGGGCCCCTGGAATCTGTGCTCATGGGGTATCCCAAACTGTGGATGGGGCAGCAGGGAAGGAGGACGCACACACTGCATAGATCTCCTCTGCACATGTGTATCTCCATTGTCCCATGGGACTTCGCTCATCAAACACAAGTTCACAGGTAAAATCATTAAGAGGCCTAGTGTAGCGGCTCATGCCTATAATCCCAGCACTTTGGGAGGCCGAGGTGGGCAGATCACCTGAGGTCAGTAGTTCGAGAGCAGCTTGGCCAACGTGGCGAAACCCCATCTCTATTAAAAATACAAAAACTAGCCAGGTGTGGTGGTGTGCACCTGTAATCCCAGCTACTTGGGAGGCTGAGGAGGGAGAATCACTTGAACCCGGGAAGCAGAGGTTGCAGTGAGCCATGATCGTACCACTGCACTCCATCCTGGGTGACAAAGCGAGACTCCAGCTCAGGAAAAAAAAAAATTATTAAGAACATCAAGACGTCAACAGCAGAGCACTAAGCAAGTTCAGGGACCCTGTGGGGACAAGGACCTGTGCAGCATCACAGGTGGCATGCCCATGAGCTGGCCCTGACTGCCCTGAATGGGCACAACCAATTACAACTCATTTTCAAGCAACAACTGGGTTGAAAATAGCTGAAAGAGAAAGCCTGAGTTCCAGGACCATAGCAATAAAGAATATCACTTTTCCAAGTTAGATGAGCTGTAAGTATTATAATGTGACTTAAAAGCTATCAGACGTGACTCTGACATTCTGTTTAATTCAACAGACATTTATTGTGCTCAGCACTGTCCAAAAACCCGGTAGGACAGGGGTCGGGGAGTGTTCCTTGTACGCACAGACACTGTGATCTCAAGAACACTAGTCTAGCTGGGGAGACAGAGAGCTACAGAACCGTATCTCCAGACAGACTATGGCTGCTGCTGTCATGGCCAAAATAAGTGCTAGGGAAGCACGAGGGAGAGAATATTTTATTCTAACTGGGAAGATGGAAGTTTTATATTTGAACTGATCCTTAAAAGGTTAGCAAAATATTGATAAAGGCTAGGGAATGAACATTTCTCTTAGCTTGGTTTTCACCCCAAGAAATAAAGCCTGAAACAAGGGTTTTGCGTGAAGTAAGTTTATTTTGGGAAGTAATCCCAGGAAACAAAAATGAAGGAACTTGAAAAAGGGAAAGACAATCTGAAAGGGTATTCCTGCACAGGTCAGTGCTTCGGGTAAATGGGGCTCAGTCCCACTGTGGCCCTCTTTGTTTTTTTTTTAGAGGCAAGGTCTTGTTCTGTCACTCAGCCTGGAGTGCAGTGGTACAATCACAGCTCACTGCAGCCTCGAACTCCTGGGCTCCAGTGATCCCCCTGCCTCAGCCTTCTGAGTAGCTGGGATTACAGGCACACACCACAGTTGTAGAGATGGGGTCTCACTATGTTGCCCAGGATGGTCTCAAACTCCTAGCCTCAGGCGATCCTCCCACTTTGGCCTCCCAAAGTGCTGGGATTATAGGCATGAACCACTGCACCCATCCCTGACTGGGTCCCTCTGAGGAGCCACTTAGAATGCACCTCCATCCCAGGAGCATGGGGAGCGATCTATCCCCTGGCTCCCATCCTCCATGGGTCCAGGACTGCCCTGGGCTGTTAATTCACTCCTCAGCCTTTCCAGGTTTGCCCAAGCTCGGAACAGCTGAGCAGGCCCCCCAGTTACCCCCCACTGTGGGAGTAAAGCAGCCCAAGGGCAGAAAATAGATACAACGTGTAGCTGAGGTAAGGTTTACCCAGCTACACCTATGTGCTGCTGGTTGCCACAGCAACACCTGGAAAAGAAAGTGGAGTGAGAAACATCAGAGAAGTTATGTGCGGTACCTAGTCCAGTGCTTCTCAAACTTGAGCATGTGTCAGAGTCACCTGGGGGGCTCGTTGCCACCAATATATGGGCCCCAGCCTCAGAGTTCCTGGTTCAGTAGCTCTGGGATGGAGATTAAGAATGACCATTTCTAACACATTCTCGTTTACGGGCATTAAGGCTTCTAAGATAGCCATCCATTCTGTACAGAGACACAAGGCTAATCAAGCAGAAGAAAGAGAAGTTTCCTAAACTGAAAAAAAAAATACATACATATTTCCAACAAATGCATAACATGGATTTCATCACAAGAATAGAGCTGGCATGCATTGTCACACACCATCACCACTGATAATCTACTGAGAATTGCTCATCTATTGATAGCCTAATGAGAATTTCAACATCCAGGAATGAAGAAGAGGTTGATGTTGGTTATTCTGTTTGTGCCTTATCCCTGCCTCATTCGAGATCTATTCTCTGTGAATCAGTGCAGTGTGGGAAATAGACAAATAAACATCATTCTCTGCCCTTCTCTGGGTCAGGGAGGCTAAACTCTCTGGACTGGACCATCCAGATTGGCCAACTGGAAGCACTATCAGGAAATCAAAAAGTGAGAGAGGAGAGAAGTAAGAGCGATTATTCCCCCTGCTCCCTTGTGGTTCTCCAGGGACTGCTGGTGGCTATGTCACCAGGCGGCTGCCCTCCTGCTGGAGGCTCATTTCTTATCAGACGCTGACAATTCTGTCCTCACCCCCCACATTGGGCATGGGGATTAGAGCTTCTCACTATTCCTGGTTCCGGGTGCCTCACCACTCCAGGCTCGTTCCCTTAACTCTGCTCAAAGTGCTTCATTAATAGTCTTTCCAGTTCAACTGTCTTTTTTTTTTTTTTTTTTTTTTTTTGGCCAGGATCCTGACCAATAACAGTGTGTTCAGAGGGGGGAAAAAAAAAAAAAAAAAAGACCTGGGTAAAGCTATACATCTGTATTTCTGAGCCTTTTGACATAAAAAAAACCCTGATAACACTCAAGTTGACATTGAAATTTGAAGACCTAAATGCAAGATAAAATGAAATGTAAAATGAATAAATAGATGAGTAATATGTAAACATAAAACAAGGCCTTGGGATGATTGTGTCCATTAAAGATATACCAAAAACAAAACAAAACAAAAACAAACAAACAAAAAACCACAAGAAGAACTTGATAGAGACTTTTTTCTTTCAATCCCTAAGGAATTTGCTACAGGCAAGGGAGAGGCCCCAGAAGTACTAATTTGTGCTATATGAAACTTTCCCCCATCTACACACGTTCTGGGAACATGGAATATTGGCACGAGAAAAGATAGTGTAATTTAGGCTGTGCACATGAAAACCTTCAGAAGCATCTTGGGAAACCTAAGATAAGATCAGACAGAAATTAAATAACCAGAGAACACACTGCTAACACAACGTGTTGCAATCAATTTAAAGTTCACATCTTGCTTGATCTATGCATCCATAATGAAATCAACCAAAAGCTGAGGGCTCTTCCATCAATTTCAACTCTATTCCACAGCACTCCCCAGCCCCAGGCTCTGCCAGAGCTCTTGGGTCAACGTCTTAAAGAACGCTATGATGCTTCTGCTTCTGTCCTCAAGGATCCTATGAAAGTCAGAGCTTCCAGGAGGAGACCCGGTATTCTTCAGCAAAGATGGCCAGTCACTTCAGATCTTGCAGGGACTTTGTAAGTGAGGCACTTAAGTGAGACAGCAGGGTTTTTTACAGCAAGGGAGGATTTCGTTTTAGGCTTGCTGCTCTTCTAAAAGGCCCTCTGTTCTTTTTTTCGCTGTATACACTGTGCCCTGTTGTTTTCCAGATTTCCATGGTTAAGTCCAGCACCCCTATTAAGGCTGTTTGAGTCCTTCAGAATTTGCAGAGCTTCTCTGCTAATCCGATGTGTGTAGTGCTTTTCTTTCAGCTGGGCGTGAATGTAGGGCAAACCAATGCTTTTGTTCACTACAGCAGAATTTTTCCCCATGTGATAATGTAAGATGTGGTGTGTGTCTTTAATCTTCTTATCAATGAGTCATTCTAGTTTATTGGTTCCAATATTTTACCTCAGGTGAGAGGACATCACGATCATGCCCAAAATAGTAGGTAATGAACACTTGCTATGTACTAAATGATGCATATTAAAGTACTTAATCCTATAGTAATCCTGCCAGGTATCCCCATCTTTACAGATGAAGAAATCAAGCTTAAGAGAGACTAAGAGACTTTTTCAAGATCATAGAGCTGGTCAGTGGCAGAGCTGGGATGTGAATCCAGCCAGCCCATTCTTTAATTCTTTAGTCTAATCCAGTTGATCTTGACCGAGGGTGACTTTGGCAATGTCTAAGGACACTGGGTTGTCACGACTGAGGAGATACTACTGGCATCCAGTGGGCTGAGGCCAGAGATGCTATAAGCATCCCACACCAGCACCCCCACAAAGAATCACACAGCCTCAAATGGCCACAGTGCCAAAGCTGACAGACCATGGCCTACCCACTGTGCTATATTAGGTTATAATCCTTTTTTGGTTTGCTTTAATGTCAAGGTATTTGTTAGGATGTCTTTGTTGGAATAGGTTATAGGCATGTCTCTTTAAGATTTACCCTTGATATATTAGAAAAAGTAAGTTCTGCTCCTCCCCCCAGTTTCCTTCATCTCTCTTCCCTTTCCTGAGTTGGAATAAAAGAATGATTAACTGTTTGGTAGAACATTCATTCTGGGAGAACAGTATGTTGTACTTGGATGTCCTGTGATGAGCTGTCCGGTTCTGGGTTTGACTTGGTAGGATACATCCAGGCAGCTTTGCAGATATATATAAAATAATTATCATAGGAGGTTAGAGAAAAGAATTCTCATGATTTCCTTGGCTCTTCCTGTACAGTACATTGAAATATCATACCAATTCTACAGTAGTTTGAGAAAAGCACAGTGCAGGGCTGCAAGCTGTATTTTCAGCTTTTATAAAAGGTCTTTGGGCCGGGCAAGGTGGCTCACACTGGTAATCCCAGCACTTTGGGAGGCTGAGGTGGGAGGATCGCTTAAGCCCAGGAGTTCAAGACCAGCCTGGGCAACATGGCAAAACCCCATCTCTACCAAAGGAAAAAAAAAAAGAAACAATTAGCCGGGCATGGTGGTATGCACCTGTAGTCCCAGCTACTCAGGAGGCTGAGGTGAGAGGATGGCTTGAGCCCAGGAGGCCGAGGCTGTAATGAGCCGAGATCATGCCACTGCATTCCAGCCTGGGCCACAGCCAGACCTTGTCTCCAAAAAAAGTCTTTGAAGCCTAGAGGCCCACTTATTTGGGGCAATGCAATGGTTAGCTCATATGCATTGGCCTTTGCGTGTGAGCCAGGGGAAAGCAGCACCCCAATATCAGGATGCAGCTTTTCCTTCTCCCAAGATCCACAATCTTGTTTCTCTGAGGTTAATATGCCTACATCCTAGACAAGGAGGAAGGCTTTCTTCCTGTTTGTTTATGAATGGAAAGCGTGCTGGCAAATTAAAGAATTTTTTAAAAGATCCTCCCCTCCCCCCAAAAAAGACCTACAGGCAAGTTTGGAAACTTCTAGAAGGGTAGAGCAGAAAAACGCTTGGAAAATCAAGGCCATGAATGGGGCTGTTAATGTAATGCAGGAGAAGTCCTGCCGGGACGGAGAACTGTGGGAACAACTTATAACTTTCCATGTGGCCTTAGGCTGGACGTGAAAATCTGATAATGACGATTTTTAAGCACGCAATGAGCAGAAACATCTGGAAACACGTCTGTGTGCTGGTTGGCAGGTACAAATGCCCTGACTGAGAAAAGCCATGGGAGAGAGCCATGGATGAGCAGTCCCAACATTGCAGGGACCCAGCAACCGTCGGCCCCAAAGCCCTGTGCTCTCCTTTCTCCTTCAACTCCACCTTCCAGCCGCAGAGTGAGGGCCAAACACTCAGAACCTAAATGTGCAATGTGATCCAGTCGCTTAGAGTGCTCTGGGGATCTTGTTGAAAGGCAGGTCTGGAGGGGGCCTAGGACGCTGCATCTCTGCCGGGTCCCAGGTGGTGCTGGCTCTGGCGAGCCCTGCCACTCCACAGACCTCGCTTTGAGTAACGAGGATCTAACCAGGAAGGGAAAGGAACCCCACACCCCGACAGCGAAGGAGCCTCATGAACATTTGCTCACCAGCCCCATTTTCTTCCCCGTTCCGACACATTCTCCGCGTTGCCGTGAAGTCAGAGAAGTCTTCCCAGATGCAGAATCGGATCACATCTCGCCCCTGTCCTTTGCCCTTTGCCCTTTGCTGTTAGAATGAAGTCCCAACTCCCAGCTTGGCATTTCAGGACTCCGGGCAGCCTGGTGCCAGTTGCCCTGTGGAACCATCACCTTCACCTCTCTCTGCTCCACTACAGGCAACTTCTCCCTCGGCTGAGCAGCCCAAGCTCTTCCACACCTTCTCTCCTTCTTCCCCTCTCCATCCTTCATCCGAGATGTCCTCCTCTCTCCCCACCACTGAACTCCTCCTCACCCTGTGACACCCTCCCCTCCAAAGCCTTCCCGGCCAGGCAGTTGCTTCCCATAGCCATCTTTAAAGACCTCTGATATAGTGCATAGGCCACTGCATTGATATGTTTTATGATGCTTGTATGTTGCCCCCTAAACTGTGAAACCTCAGGAGCAGAGACTGTTTCATATTTGGGCAATCCCACATCTTCACACAGCACTGGGCACGTGACATACACAAAAACTTAAAGAAGGGAAGGAATTAAGTATCACATCCATTCCCATCTCTCTCCTCCCAGCACATCCCCTTTTCTTCCCAGGCCTTCCATGCATCTTTTTTTTTTTTTTTCGAGACAGAGTCTCACTCTGTTGCCCAGGCTGGAATGCAGTGGCATGATCTCGACTCACTGCAACCTCTGCCTCCTGGGTTCAAGCGATTCTCCCGCCTCAGCCTCCCGAGTAGCTGGGACTGCAGGCGTGCACCACGATGTCCAGCTAATTTTTGTATTTTTAGTAGGGACAGGGTTTCACCATGCTGGCCAGGCTGGTCTCAAACTCCTGACCTTAAGTGATCCACCTGCTTCGGCCTCCCAAAGTGCTGGGATTACAGGTGAGCCACTGCACCCGGCCGGGGTTGTATCTTTGTGTGGCTTTAAAATATTCATGATAAGAGCTAACTTTTCTAGCATGTTAGACCTCATTCTAAGCACTTTAGTCTTAAGGCATTTAACCTTCCTAATGATTTCCACAGCTCTACCAAGTTATCATTGTCGTTCATTACTGTTCCTGTTTTAAATGTGAGGAAACTGCAGCACAGAGAAGGCAAGTAACTTGACCAAAGCCACACAGCTAGGAAATGCTTGTGCCAGGATCTAGACCCAGGAAGTGGGATGTTAAAAAAAACAGGATGCATCTTTGGCAGGGCCTGATAATAAGAGAAATGAATCACAACTCTGTCCCTTGCTCCTTGCCATGCTTCATCCTCACCCAGCTTCCGAAACAAACAGCCCTCAGGCAAGCTTTTTCTTTGTAGTGGATGCACCCTGGAGCTGGACTACGTCCCGGTGTGTCCTTCATGTGGTGCTCACAGCCCTCCTATGGGCCATCGGAAATGTCATATGTGGCAGCCTGTCAATCATTCAATGATAAGGGAATAGGGAAGGGAGCACGGAGCTCAAACATGTGTTTGCAACCAAGTCGAGGGGTGTGCGAGGGAGGGTGGGCACTGCCCTTGGGCTATGAACAGCATCCCACAACTTCCAGGCAACACGCACAGTGCCAGAGCCATACTGAGTTGGCCTGCAGATTTCACAATGTGAGTCTCTTGACCCCAGTTGGGTCTTGGTCCAGGTGTAGCATCCATGTTCACTGTCACAGAGGGGTTAATGAGAGCCTCAGTGGATGCCACCATCCCAACCAGGACCTTCCAAAAAGAACTTGAAGCAGACTAGACAGCTGGTGTCGGGGCCAGTGGGGCCTGACTTCCCCACTTGCCATTAGAGACACCCAAAGCAAGGAGGTGGATAGCCCTACCACTAGGTTGGCTGAAGCTTTGAGAGGTCTCAGGTGCGATTCAAAGTCTGCGTCTGTTCAGCCCTGCTTCCTCCCCCTTCATTGGCCTAGATTGCTCGTAAACTTCATCTCAGCGTGTGGACAGCCCAACCTGCAACAGGCTGGACTTGGAATAGGATATCTCCTCCCATGTTCTTGCTCCCCTCTTTCTCCTTCATGAAGCCTGCATGTTACAATCCCTCAGCCACACAAAACTAGTTTGTGTCTGCAAAAGACCACGCATATCTGTGTGTCCTCACTTGGGCTCATTGCGATCTTCCCTTCCCCTCCTTTTCCTGCATCATCTACCTGGCAACCTTCTCACCTTCCTATGCGGCTCAGCTCAATGGCCTGACTCTCCTAGCTTTCTTTTTCTTTTTCTTTTTTTCTTTTTGAGACAGCGTCCCACTCTGTCATCCAGGCTGGAGTGCAGTGGCACAATCACTGCCCTAAGGGATTTGGGCCCTTATAACAGAGATGCTTGCTCCTTCTACCACATGAAGAAACGATGAGAAGACAGCATTTATGAGACAGAAATAGGACGCTCACCAGACACTGCATCTGCCGGCACCTTGACCTTGGACTTCTCAGCCTCTAGAACTGTGAGAAATAGATTTCTGTTGTTTATAAGCTGCCCAGTTTAAGGTAGCTTTAGTATAGCAGCCTGAACAGATTGAAAGAGCAGAGAACAGCCAAAAGAGAGTTTTGATAACTGGCTCCTTCCTTGAAAAGGAGATTTATAGATCTGTGGCATTAAGTTCATAAGATTCATACCTGGAAGGAGGAGGAGGGCAATTTATTCAACAAATCCTCCCTAAGCACTTCAGTGTGCCCAGCCCTGTTCTAGGCACTGGGGATGAGGCAGGAGCTTACAGTGGTGGCCCCGTTATGGTCCAATGTAGCATTCAATTAAACACTAGTGCAACATCCAAAAATATATTTCATTCTCTACTGTTGTTTCTCATAAAAACACCAAAGAGGGAGTGTCCATTCATTATCAGAACTGACAATTTAAATCCTCTTTCTCATCGCCTCCATTTGCCACTCTCACACCCAGCAACTGCCCCCAAATCCCCCCATGCAAAACGCCCAACTCCCCACAGCCAGTTCGGCCCCTCCTGTAATGGAGAGCAAAAGGCAGCAGCAGTGACAGAAAAATAAATAGGTCATTGCCTAAAGTTGGCTCCCAAGTCAGAAAGGGAAGTGCTAGAACCCAGGGCCCCAAAACAGGGAGCGGAGCCCCACCAGCTACCATGCTTTACATTTTTTTTAAAGGCAGAAATAAATCTTCAGGAGGCCACCGACTTCATCCTACATCATGGCAGCGAGCTGCCTCTTGGGGAAAGCTAACTCCAGATGGTGTTTATCAAGGAAGATGGTGAGAAGGAACAGCAGTGTTTATTGTGAGAATGTAAAAGATCCTTTGTCATTGTTTATTGGCCATTCCTGACACATCGAATGACTAGTGTGTACTTTATTATTCTGTTTGATGGATATTAAGGAGAAAAAAGTCACTCATCAAGTGCTGAAGAACTGCCTTCTGCCTAAGGCACTCTATGAAGATGTAAATTTGATAATAAGTTCTGCCAGACATTTTCAGCCCTTACGAACCAGTGAGCTGGACAGCCTTCCTTCACCACTTGATCCAGGGCTTAAAGAAACAGAAGGGCAATTGCCTGAACCCCTACCAACCTCAGGAAGTATTTGTTTTGTTCCTGCTTTTTGGCTACCTCACCACCTATGCTAATAAGAATAGCTACCATGTATTGAAAGAGTACTATGTGCCAGGCAGGGTGTCTGCCCTCTTCCATGGATAGTTCTCGGTCAACATGCTTAGATCCACCGCATTCAAAGATGAGGAAGTCAAGGTTCAGCAGTTTCCATGGCTTGCCCGAGGTCCCGCAGCTAATACCAGAAGGAACCATTTCACTGACGCAGGAGTCAGTAGCCCAGCTCCCTGGGGTGCCCAGCCACCCTGCACCTTGGGACAGGAAGAGGGGCAACCCTGCTTTCTGTGCAGATGAATTCATTCACAGCTCACAATAAGGCTTTGCCCCTGCAGCAAACTCCACCAGGTGAACCCGACAGCTGATCACTTTCATGGGGAAAGAACATCACTTTTATTTTATTTTGTTTTATTTTTTAAAAATTATAAATTACAAAATAGAGACAGAGTCTCCCTATGTTGCCCAGGCTGGTCTTAAAACTCCTGGGTTCAAGCAATCCTCCCACCTCAGACTCCCAAGTAGCTGGGACCACAGGCACGCACCACCACGTTTGGCTAGTGTTTTTAAATTATTCCTGTAGAGACGTGGGTCTCGCTCGTTGCCCAGGATGGCCTCAAACTCCTGGGTTCAAGCAATCCTCCCACCTTGGCCTCCCAAAGTGCTGGGATTACAGGTGTGAGTCACTGCACCCAGCCAAGAACATCATTTTTACTAGTTAAGATACCAGAGGGAGACAAACTGAGTTGATCTGGAAGCTTTCTAGACAGTCACTATCAGAACAAGATGCAAAACCCCAAGCTCTGCTGTTTCTAGATTATTCTTTGGCACATGTAACCTCTGAATCTCTCATGGGAAAATTCAATCCCTCTGCATTTTGCCAACCCTGAAATTGACTCAATCCCATTTTAAATGTTCACTCTCCCACCCCAACCCCTGCAACTTTCTGAATAAGTTAATTTTAACAAGGGGAATTTTGCTTTTCTTGTTAAACACATATGTAAAAGATGAGCTGTCTAATTGGTGACAGGTTATTCCAATATTATTGTAACAAAAACCATAGATCTCAGCTATTGTAATTCTTCTAAAAGTGTATTTTGTTTCTAATATTTCAATATAAATCTTTCAAGTGTTTGAGACACAGTGCTGCCTGCAGACAATTGAGGATGGAATATACAGACAATTAGACCTTACCCCTTGCAGTTCAGCATTCACTTTGGAAATAAAAAGCCTTTTTAAAACATTAGTATTGAAACAAGTTTGGGGGGCAGGTACTTTCCTTTTGCATTTATTTATTTATTTATCTATTTATTTATTTATTTATTTATTTATTTATTTATTTATTTGAGACAGGGATTCTCTCTGTCGCCCAGGCTGGAGTGCAGTGGCACAATCTCTGCTCACTGCAACCTCCATCTCCTGGGCTCAAGAGGTCCTCACACCTGAGCCTCCCGAGTAGCTGGGACTACAGGCCTGCACCATCATATCCCACTAAACTCTTATTTATTTTTAAACAGAATTATAACAGTAGTTTAACGGAGACATTTAAAAATTCACTTAGAATTACACCAATCTGACAAATAAGTTCTTGTTATTTTCCCTTCCAGACGCACACATAATTTCCCACCTCTGCAATCCTATCCTGTATGTTTTCAACACTGCTGAATAAAAATATCATTAGTTTTTGTGCATATTATTAGTAAGGGCTTGTTTCTCCTCCAGCTAGCAACACCTAGTAGCTGGGTATCTATGCATCATATTGGGTGCATAATAAATATGCACCTCAATTCATTTGAGGTGCATCTGATGAGTATTTATGCTTTTAGCTTGGTCACAATTCTTTCACATCCATTATTTCATTTCATTCTTACAGTAACTCAATGAGGTTTTATTATTTTCATAAATGCAGAAAATAAGATAGTAGGTTGTACTGTGGCCAACAGGGACAGCTTTTCTCTAAAGGATCAGGTAGAGAGTGAACTCTGCTGGCCATACGGTCTCTATGGCAACTACACAGCTCTGCCATTGCCCTGGGAAAGCAGCCCCAGACCATATGCAAATGAGTGAGTAGATCAGTGTTCTAATAAAACTTTATTTATAGATCCTGATATTTGAAGTCATATCATTTTATGTATCATGGAATACTATTCTCCTTTGATTCTTTTAGACATTGAAAAAATGTAAAACCACTCTTAGCTTGTGAACAGTACATAAACAGGCGGTGGCCAGATTGCCCCGCCTGTGGGCAGTAGTTTGCCAAACCCTGGCCCCCTGAATTAGGATGGACCATGAAAGAGCTCTAATTGGATTGTTTCTGCTTTCATGGGTGAGAAATCCCAGCCTCCAGAAGGCAGGTAGTTTGCTGTGGCCGGGTAGAACTAGAACTCAGATATTCTGAGTCTTAGTTCAGTGCACTTTCCACACGAAGGCACTGCTTAAAATGAAAGCAAATAAAAAGCCAGTTAAAGAGAAAACTGCAAAAACTGCTCAGCATTTCACCCAAAGACAAGAACACCCCGTACTGGCTGCTCGGCCGTTGCTACTTTTGCAGACAGCTTTTGGCATGCTTTCAGAGGGCTTGAGAAATGATCACTGGTTAGGCAGAAATCGTTCCAAGAAACAGACAGTGACTTTTGCTCTGCTACTTCCTTGCACTATTACAATTTAACTCCTCTTCTGCCTGAGTTATGAAATCCGTAAAATAAGGAAATTGATATTATCATTTTACCGTTTACGATAGTTTCACTCTTTATACCAGCTCTAGCAGTCCAAAAATACAATTCCACTTTTTCTTTTCCAGGTAAGGGCTAGCAAAGTGGTTGCATAACAACCACGACAAAGCAGCTGAACTTTCTCCATCCCTTCTGTTTGCTGGAGCTCTGAGTTTCCCCTAGCCTCTTTCTCTTTGTTCTCTACTGTTTCAGTAGGAACAAAACCTCACTAGCTGGAGGTGATAAGGCAGAGGAAAGGTGAGTCCACCCCTCCCAAAAATCAGACATTCTGACAGCTGGAGTAGAGACCACGGCTGTGTGTGTGTGTGTGTGTGTGTGTGTGTGTGGGTGTGTGTGGGTGTGGGTGTGTGGGTGTGGGTGTGTGTGTGTGATGCCACACTTCCACATGCCTGTGCTCATGGAGAGAAAATGGAGACAGAGTTAAACTTTTGGGAGGAAGGAAAGCAGAAGGAGGCAGGCAGCACTTGGTATAACAGAGTAGAAGTCTACCTAGCCATAAGTTTCACCTTGCCACGTGGGCAGAGAAAAGAACACTCTGGAAGTTCTTTCCTATTCCCTGTACTGTTGCCTCCATTAGCCTCTTACTTGATTCGTTCTCAGTGGCCTGCCCTGTCTCTCCGGCCTGGCTGCCCTGAGTCATCAGTCCAGACAGAAGGCCCTGGGGGCCAAGTCACTTCCCAGGCCTCCCTAGGCCCCTCGTTTGTGCACTGTGTGCTTGGTCCCACCTCCCCTGCAGAGCACCCCACCTGCGTGCTAGTCCAGTGTGGGCCAATGTGTGAGCGTCTGCAGCCTCCCCTCCTGGCCTGAGAGCCCCTGAGACCAGGGACTGCATTCACTGGACCCATCACTGGGTGCCAGCCCCTAGCAAAATGCCTGGAACACAGCAACAGAAACTGTTAAATGTTACAGAGCAAGTGAGCCGGGTTCCAAAAATGAAAAACTGAAAAATAGAAACCCACACTTTCTAATGAAGACTCTGTGTTGGTCACATAGGGCCTGCTGCCCTGGTGGGAAGCTGGACTGAGCTGGGGTCCACTGTGATCTCCAGCAGGGCAGAAACAGCAAGGGCCTTAGGACTCAGGTAATAAACAAGCCCTGACCTTCTGGGGGCGACAAGGATCATTAAGGTTATTCTCCCATTTGCCCACGTTCCACCTGGTGGAGGTGCTCAGTTGGCGAGAATCTTTGGCTCTCCTAAGACCCAAAGGCTTCTGTGAGGTGAGTCAGTGGGGAACGTGGCCTTGTCGACAGAGTGCACTGGCATTACCTGAGATGAGATCCGGGGGGAGTGGCCACAGAAGTGAAATGAGTAGCAAACTACACAGCCTAGAGTCATGCCCACAAGATGTCCTTTTTCCTGCAGGTTCTCCATCCCTAAAATTAACATTGTTACCATCTTTCTCCCACTTCACCCCTCAACTTGGAATATTGTCTAGCAAATACTGCATTGCTGCTTTATTCAGTCACTTTCTTACATTACCACTTTCAACATTTATTAAGCATCTACTATGTGACAGTCACTGAGCTGAGTTCTATGGAGAAAAGACAGAGGAAAAGCAGATTGGCTGCCCCAGAAGCTTGTAGTCAGTCTGGGGAAGTGGAGAAGTTAAATTACCCATTTGTAATCAATAGAATTTTATTAGGCACCTATTAAATGCCAGACACAATGAGAAAGTAGGTTAAATGAAATAATGAAGCCCATAATCCAGTAAAACTGATAAACAAATATGCAAATAGCTATGATACATTATAAGATGCAATATGGTTGGAATAAATGGGTATTAAGCATAAAAACTTCAATTTGCCTGGAGGTTGGGGAAGCCTTCACCATATGAGTTTTTAATTGAGCCTTGGAGAATGAGGGGGAAGCAGTGGGGGCGGCGGGGAGAAGCAGAGGGAGAATTTGGAAGGAGGGGCCTTATGGACCAAGTGTATAGATTCGGTAAGAACCCAGGCCTAAAATACTATTATTTAGAGAATGCCAAGTACACATGGGCTTGGGGGAACCTGGCAGAAAACACGGGAAAGGGGTGCCAGGCTAAAAATAAAATTGGTAATGTACCCCACAAGCAATGGAAAGCCAAGGAAGGCTCTCAGGCCAAGGAATGCAACCACCATGCTCAGGTTGAAGAACAACCATTGACTGAAAGAATTAAAGGTCAGTGTGGGTGAAAAACCAAGTTAAAATTCTAAAGCAAATATTTTGACTCCCATTCAAGTGCTCTTTCCATCACACAAGTCAACCAGGACAAGGCTCAAAAAGAAGCCACCAATCTTTGACCACTGGAAAGTAGCTGGGACCTTCCAAAGGAAGAGATGGGAGGCGAAGCTGTGAGCACAGAAACGTGGGAAGTGACATGTATTCCCAGATAGTGGCCTCTTCCAGGGCAAGGACCATGTCTTACCAATCCGTGCATGGAAGCATCTTGCAAAGGCAGGTGTGAACTCCCTGGGGAGGATTCTCTAGAGAATGAGCAACTGCAGGCTGAGCAGGAGCGTGTGTGTGGGTGTGGAGAGAGGTATCCTCCACTGCGCTGGTCTTTCATGTGGGGTAGCCGAGATCTCCTCCTCACCGCCATCTGCACAATAAGCCTTTGCAATTTCAAAGCACCATCCCACGTTTTCTCACATGTAACTGGCTGGTGGAGCAGATGTTGATGGGGAAGTCCTGCTGAAATGACTAATCACTGTCGACTGCACTGGAAAGAGAACCCAGGCTAGAAGCCAAATAAGGCAAAATGACATCACAGCAGCTTAAGAAAGAAAGGACCATTCATGTCTGACAAGTGTGTGATATTTGCGACTCAGAGCTTTATTAACAGCGACGGGGCCCCAAAGCATTCCTACTTGTCCATCATATAAAAATTTAACAACAATTGGATTCCACAAGTCTTATCAAATACACACACAGACTGTAGTAATTAAGATCCTTCAGGAATTATATTTTACATTTAGTCCTACGTCTAAATTGAAAAAGATTTTCAGATCACTTTCGTGTGCACTGTAGGCTCAACTGTTTTTTGAAACTGCTTTACAATAACACAAATTGTGAGTGTTAACATAATAGATGCAATAATGTCTAATACATTGTTGCTAGGCATTTACAAAAAAGCCAAGCGCTATTAAAGTATGTGGTCAAAAGATTACAATGTAACTGAAGCCACATAATATGTTATAATGAGTATAAATTATGCATTTAATTTTAAAGGTTAGCTATATGTTTAGTAGAGTGCTTTAAAAGCAAAATAATCTGATGACATAAACTTGAGTCATGCAAAAGCAAGTTGGTAAATATCGCAAAATATGATGGAGAACAATTTGGTCTCAGCTCTGGACACCCTAGTACTTTAATTGATAATGTGTCTTCTGGTTTTTTGGTTTAGGATGTTTTGGCATAAATGAAAAAAAGCAAATCAGAAACTTGTTTTATTCCAAGCAGCTGGGGGTGTAGATCTTGACTGTAATAGGCCACAAGGGTCCAGTTACACCAAGACCCTCAAAGAATTCCAAACCTTATTCAGACTGGGCATGCTCTAAGCCACCTGGTAAGGGTCACTCTGACACAAAACCTAGGATTCCTCTTGTTCCAGAATCCCTGAGCTTACCTTGGAGAAAGCAAGGGTGTGTGTGTGTGTGTGTGTATGTATGTGTGTGTGTGCACGCATGCCCATGCACACCCATTCCTCTTTAACTCTGCTTTCTTAGTCAATTGCAATATCCCGCCAAGGCCATGTTAACTCCTCCCTGCCTCTAATGTGGCTCTTTCCTACTTCCACCCAGTGCTTCTGCGACGTGGTTTATCTGCCTCCTTTACGGGAGACAGGGCATTTCAACTGGTACTAACCCTATCAACCATCCCTCCTCACCGGTCCACCTCCCCGTCGCCTCCTTCCAGCGGCATCTCCTCACCCTGCCTCATGCACTGGGGCCACCTCTGCCAGCTTTCCATCATGCAGACACCTCCTCTCCCGCCTCTTTCTTCAGCTTCCTGCCTCTCCTTGGAGAAGACATCTCCTTCCTCCTGCCTTGTCTCCCCTGACCCCCACCATTCAGTGGTGACGATGGGTGTGGCCGTCCTTCCCTTTCAATTCCAGTCCGAGTTCTCTGCCAGTAAGTGGCCTCTCCCTATGCCACCCATGTAAATGACACTTATCAGAGTGTTTCTGCATCATACCCAGCCTGGCCACTGCCAGCGCTCACCCAAGCCTAACTCAGCACCTGCTCCCCTAGCAAATCACAACCTTTCCAAGATCCACCTCTCCCCAGGGGCCATCTTGTTCCCTAATAACCTCCAAATTTCTGATCTCTGTTCTCACAAGGTCCTTCAATTACTCAACCTCTTTATACAACTGGCAGCCCTTCAACCCTCTCCTGGCTATACCGCCAACTCATTCTCTCTGTAACTCACAGCCAGTGCTACTGTTGCCCTTATCAGAGCTCTGCATTCCTCCTACCAATGCCAGTATTTAGCCATGATGGCCAGGTCCCACTCTCCCATTGGTTATGAACTCCTGCCTTAAGAACTCCTAATAGAGTCCACTGTGTTGGGAGTACTGGGTACCTGAGCTGTGTGGTGATACTGAGTTGGGGCGCTCCTGGGCACCACGGCCTCCTCAAGTCCACATGCAGGCCCCTGTGATGGGAGAGAGGCCTTGTAAAGACCCACTCTGCAAAGAAAGGGAATGAGGCAGACATGCCCTAGAGATGACAGAGCCTGGGCCAGTGCATGAGGAGCTGCCAGACAGCTTTCAGGTTCCCATGATGTCAGCCTCCACTTCCTCCTGTTGAGCTCCCCGTGGGTCCCCTGACACCCTACAACAAATCCCACTTCACTTAAGCTAAGTAGGTTTTTGTTTCTCGCCACCAAGCCATCCTTGACTGAGATACCTTCAACACAGCTGCGGGGTCGTCCCTCCCACCCACTTGCTCAGTCTTTTCCCCTGCGGAATCTGCTTGCCTGTTTCTATTGATACAGGCACACACCACACAGAGCCTTAATTTTCACTTGAACAAATGCTGCCTGGCTTTGTCCCAAAGAGAACAAGAGGCAGCCCCATGACTTAATCACACAACAGGTGAGCCAGTCCGTGCCAACGTTTACACCAACTTGTCTCGGACCTGCTGGAGTTATCTGCCTGCCGGAGTTTCCTAACAAAAATCCTAATCACTGGCATTAAATTGTGGAATATCCCAGAAGTTTGCAGCACCCCGGCTCCACAGCAGCAGGAAGCACTCCGGCTTTGAGGGTAGAGTTGTATGCGGAAGGATGACCACAGGGTAAAATGTGTTCAAGCAAACATTCTTCATCTCAAATCACTTAGAACTTCAGCAATAAGATGAATGGTTCCTATGGCAATGGATAAGCCCCAGGTGCCAGCAGAAGACTGTAGCTTTCTCAAAACTCCTTAGGACAAGGGTACCTACTCTCTATCACCCCTGTGCACTGGCCACATTTCTTCTTTCAGCTTTGGTCAAAAGTAAATGTTCTCTTGCACATTTTATGACATTGTCTAGAACATTCTCTTCTGAGACAAATTCACTTCTTTTCCTCTTGGGGGTTTCTGAGTGTACGCTATCTCGTTGTTCCTAAAGATAGGATGCGCCTACAACAATTTTGGATTTTTCCTGTCCAGTGTTGCAGTTTGGGGATATGGAAGGAGGTTGTTCCCATGTGTTTCATTTGATTTGGATCATCCTGTCTTCCTCTCGCTCTCCCTTGCCCTTCACTCTTCCCAAGCTCCCATCCTGTCGTTCACGTTCAGATACGACACGAACCGTCACACAGCTTGTGGATGTGAATGCATCCTTTTAGCAGCACCTCTAAATGAAAGGGGCACACTCGGGGAAGCACTCAGTTCTAACAAATGGAAGGTGGTCTTCCCCGCTGGACAGAATAGACTGCTTTGAGAACCCAGGATCATGTTACACAGTGATGTCCACTGTGTATCCTTTCCTGCAGCCTGTCCTTTGAGGGGCCACACTTTGACATAAAGACTGGTATGCCACATTAGAAAGAGCAAAAACATGTTCTCTATGTTCTTTTTTTAAAAAATTTTCTGGTTGATTCACAGAAGCAGTAATGACCATATGTATAGATATAGCTTCTATGGTACATATTTTTTAATGTGAATAAGAAATAAAGTGATACTGATGGGAGCATGATTTGCATTACACATATTGTCTTAGTCCATTTTGTGCTGCAATAACAAAATATCTGAGACTGGGTAATGTATAATAAACAGGAATGTATTGGCTCATGATTCTGGAGGCTGGGAAGTCCAAGATTGAGAAGCCAACATCTGGCAAGGCCTTCTTGAGTCATCCCATGGCAGAAGGCAGGTGGTAGGGGAGCCCTGACTTGTTTTTTTAATAAAGAACCCACTCCCAGGATAATGAACCCACTTCTGAGAAAATGGCATTAATCCATTCATGAGAGTGGGGCCTCCACGACCCAAACACCTCCCATTAGGCCCCATCTACAAACATCACTGCATTGGGCTTCAAGTTTCCAACACATGAGCTTTAGGGGATATATTGAAACCACAACCCTATCATGCTTGGTTTTATCATGATCACAAACAGGCACTGGCACTGTGCAAGGAAGAGAAAAGGCTGAGTGCATTCATAGGCACGTTTGGTTTAAGTGGCCGATGGTCCAGGCGCCATCTTGCTTCTCTACTCTCCACTGGGGGCCATGAGCTTTGTTTGCTACAACGTACTTTCCTTATTTGTAAATACATGGATTTTTATTTCCCATCTTGTATGCTGTATAGGCTTTCTCCTGTGATATTTAGGATTGTTTTTGCCCATTTTGATTAAACAATTCAGTTTTAAGTTTTCAGTAACAAAATATATCAAATACCTTTACAATGGCAATGCCTGCAAAAAACAAATAATTTGTGGGAAAGTGTCTCCCTTTTTTAACCATTGAAATAATTATTTTTTTATCAAGTTGACACTTAAGGAGCCATGAAAAAGAAATAATCATTTTTTAATTTAGATTTTCATAACCCAAGGTTTCTTGGGAATGTAGCCATGGCCTTATTGCAAAACAGAGCATACCATGAAATCTCAGTTATCCAGAACGGCATTTTCTAGTTAAGCAAACATTGGATGTACTATATGCAAAGAAGACTAAGTTAGCAGTCAGGATACCTGACAATCTATCAGGGCATCACTGCCAGACAGAAATACTGCGTGCAGAGACTGTTCCTTTTGTTCTAATTCTCTGTACGTCAAGCTACCACCTGCCCACGTCTCTGGCATAGCACAGCAAGATCAGCCCACTAGATGGAAGGGCCTTGGGCAAATGACTGGCCCTGATTTTTAAGCCACGTTCCTTCCAGTGGAAAATAATTTCACTAACCTAGAAAGGTATTCCGAATTTATTAACTAAAATATTAGTTTTTCAAGTGTGCACCTCAGGATTGGATTAGGGAAGGAGGCTGAGGTGGCAAAGATAGATGCAGGAAGTACGAGGAGGCTGTTGTGATAATTCAGAGGTGAAGGTGGCTTGGACCAGTGCACTGAGGATAAAGAGAATTCGGATTAGGTGGGTTACAGATCATTGACATTTTCATATAGAATTAGGTTAAAAACCTTATTTGGGCTCAGGGACACTTTTTTTTTCAGTCAATTTGGTTAGCATGAGTCAGACCTTTGGTCAACATTTAACTGACCAAATCCAGTTTCAGGACCTAAGAATTCAATGGTTCCACTGGGAAAAAGCCCCAGGAAGGCTCTGCCTGTCGTAGACAACAGAAGTCTCCCTTACATTCCATTTCACATGTCTATATAGGTATATATGTACACACACACACGGATGTATCGTAAAAGCCACAGAAGATTCACGTAAAATGTTTATGGACCCTGGATATACCTCACAGAAGAGTTTTCTGAATTAAGACTTCACAGAGGCAGTTGAACAAGAAGAAACATGAGCTTTGAAGTCAGAGAGACGTGCCTATTACTAGCTCCGTGACTAGCGAAGATAAGTTACTCAGCCTCTCAGCCTTAGTGTCCTCATAGGTAAAATGGACACAGGATCTACCATATGGCTATTGTAAGATAAAGTACCTAGAAACAGGCCAAGCATGTTGGCTCACACCTGTAATCCCAGCACTTTGGGAGGCCAAGGCAGGCGGATCACCTGAGGTCAGGAGTTCAAGACGAGACTGGCCAACAGGGCAAAACCCTGTCTCTACTAAAAATACAAAAATTAGCCAGGTGTGGTGGCGTGGGCCTGTAATTCCAGCTACTCGGGAGGCTGAGGCAGGAGAATGACTTAAACCTGGGAAGCAGAGGTTACAGTGAGCAGAGATTGTACCACTGCACTCCAGCCTGGGTGGCAGAGCGAGACTCCATCTCAAAAATAATAATAATAATAAAGTACTTAGAAACATAATAGGTCATCAACAAATAGTAGTTGCTGTTTGATTCATTTTGTTGGCTAAAAATAAAAAAATTATTTTGTGATTATTTGCACTCTACCTGCCCTCCTCTCTCTCCTGCTCCTGACCCACTTAGAGAAAGCATTAGGACCACCATCCTTTCCCCATTCTCTACCTTCCCCTCCCCTCTGCTTTGTCTATGTGGACACGGGGGTGAATCTGGGTCTCTTCACATGGGTTTCTGACAGGTGGTCCACTATAGAGGGAGATGGCCAGTAGGAGAGAAGAAAAGGGATTCACAAGGTCCTGCAAAATCACCAAGAACTGGGAAAGATTCCATGTATCCCTTTCCTGCCACAGCCCAGATGGCAGTACTGTGACTTCCCTGTCCTTGACAGCAGTTCACCCATGACGCATGCCCATCTGATTTGTGGCCAGGTGCAGGGAACACACAGAAGAGGCCACTGACCCTCCCATCTGTCCTCCATTCTTGCCTCCAGACCCCTGGAGAATCAAAAACCATGGCCTCCAGGCTGTGAGGAAGATGAGCGCATCTCAGCCCAGGTGCTCCTCAGCAAGACGCAGGCTCAACGCTAAGAAAAACTGGCGTCCTCAACTCCTCCTGTCTTTAGGTTTTCTTAGGGGATATAAGATAGGACTCAGACCCACGTGCCTCAATATAAAATGTAAATTACCATTGGTCAATGGTTCCTCCATGTTAATCCTGGATAGAGGAATAGACCCAAACATGTGAAACCCTGGCCCTTAGAAGGAATAAAGCTTTGCACAGAGAACCATGACACAGAAAATGGGTCCCTGCCCAGAAGAGCTTACAGACTAATACCTATAAGGGCAGAAGCAAAACAGGTTTTCCCCATACGGCATGTTGTTGAGATCTTGCTCTTAATGGTATAAATCTTTGTAAATCCTCCAGATTGAAAGATGAATTGAGGGAAGCGTGGTGTGTATAGCAGAAGGCATTTCAGCCGGCCTGTGGATAATGTGACAAGCCCAGGGACTCATGACCCGAGTAACCATGTGGAGGGTCCTGCCAGGAGGGGCAGGTGCTACTACTGCTGAAGACTGTCCCTCCAGACTGTCCTCTCTGACACTGGCCACTAAGCCCAGGCAGTCGCCCAGCCCACGGCCCACCTCCATGCATCTGTCTCTATTTCCCAAGAAGAGTGTGCCAGATGCCAACTGGGTTATGCTGAGACTGAGCTTGACTTGTCTTGTTCCCAGTGCCCAACACCAAACTGGGCACACACAGTCCGTGCTCAGTATTGATGGCATGAAAAAAATGAATTAACTAATGCACTTGAGAAAACAGCCCCCAAGCCTAACCTTAAACCCTAACCTAACCCTAACCCTTCTTTTTGAACTTTCATTACAGGACAAACATGAGAAGCATCCTTGGTCACTTTTACAAATGAGTATCTTCATTACATCACACTCTAAACATGATCACTGAGTCATAGTTCGTTCAAGTTGGAAGGAATCTCAGATATCTGCTAGCCTGGCCATTTCCTTTAACACGAGAAATGTGATCAATTCCACCAGGCAGCGAATGTCTTAACTACTTGCCGACACAGGACCTTAGTAACCTGAAGACAAATAATGTCCACAAGGCAGCATAAGGACCTCCCAAAATCTGGCCAGACCTGAGGGTGTTCATTAGAAGACCTTTACATTGTAAATCTCTATTTCATTGTAAACTCTACAAGATTTGGAAGTATATTCATGTGTGGGAACCAAATCAGCTAGAATTGTTTTTCAAATTATTAAGGTATACTCACAGCAAGCAATTCTTTTAAATTTAGCTGTCACTGAGGAACTGTTATATGCAAGACTCTCCAAAGGTACTCTAGAGGGATGCAAAGGTGAGTTCAATATCGCTGCCCCCAGAGGCTCCTGATTGTATGCAGGCCAGACAAACATGTACCAACGATCCTGATACAAGGCAGACCACAGCACCTGCTGCAATAGAGAAACAAGGTTCAGAGGGAAAAATAACTTCAAGGACTTGGGCCCAGCAGCTGAAAAGGGAAGGAAGTACCTAGTCCTTGAGAGGCGGGTGGAAATCCAACAGGTACGTGGAAGAAGGCAAAGGCATACCGCATGAAGGAATCAGCATTAGCTAAAGCAAGGGATAAATGGGAATCATTTTTTAAAATTTTACACCAACTGTATGTTGGACACTTTAGAAGTATAAATTCATTTATACTCACAACAACCAAATAAATTAGGTATCACTGCTTCCATTTTTCAGAGGAGGGAACTGGACTTCGGAAAGATTAAAAATGTATCAAATGAGGGTCAGGAGTATATAACGCATACGGGGCAAAGCCCAGATGTGAACCCCTGCAAGGCTGACTCCAATGCCAGGACTTTCTCCACTTCGCCGGCTGCCTCCCTGGGAGGGGGAGATGGCAAGGCATAGTTTAGGGACATTAGCTCCGTGTGGCTAGTTCATGGGGACAGGGGAACTCGGATGGTAAGGGGTTGAGAAAATGAGGAAGATGACAGAGAAAGGAGGGAGGCAGGAGGAAAACAAGATAAGAGCTTTGCTGCTGGTTGTTTTGTAAGATGAAGGAAACTAGAGAAAGTCTCAAGATTCAGGGCTCAGAGGAAAAGGAGGTTTAAGATGAGAAGAAGTGACAGCTGAGCAGGATCGCAGAGAAAGAAGAGAGACCAGGCACCGTGGCTCACGCCTGTAGTCCCAGCTACTCAGGAGGCTGGGGCAGGAGGATCATTTGAGCCTGGGAGGTCAAGGCTGCAGAGAGCTATGATTGCACCACTTCACTCCAGCCTGGGTGACAGTGAGACCCTGTCTCAAAAATAAAAATAAATAAATAAATAAAGAGAAGGTTAGCAGCAAGGGTGGGGGCTTTAGCCTTAGAAAGAATAAGGAACATTTCTCCCCCAAAACAAAATGAAAGAAAAAGAGAATGAGAAATTATCCCCATTAAAAAAAAAAAAAAGTCAGCAATCTCCGTAGTGGGGAGGGGTGGTTTGCTTAGCCAATGCAGTGAAGAGGTCTGTTCTGGAGAGGGGAACGAGCAGGGTCAGTTAGGGCTGGAGGAGAGTGGAAAAGATTTGGAGCAGCTGTCCTGGGAATCTGATAGGGAGCTAAAAACGGAGTCAGAGGACCATGCCTGAAGGCACTGGGAGCGTCCCCAGCAGGACTGGGCAGGGCGTCCAATTACTTTCGGGGCACAAATCTCTTCAGTGGAATTCAGCACTTTGGGATCAGGAGTAGATGAAAGGATTGCCCAGGGAGACACAGGGGAAGGTCAAGAGGGTAAGAAAAGGGAGGTGCTTTTGAGAACTTTGCCAAATCATTTCACCACAAAGGGAGGGAGGGAGGGAACAGATGCAACCAGGACGGGTCCACAGTGCCAAACACAAGGAGGGGCTCCAGGGGCCGCGATAAAGGCGAAGAAGAGGCTTAGCAGGAACGAGTGAGTGGGACCCATGGAAGGACGGGGTGGTGGCTACAAAGCCATTTCCGAGATGGCCATCCGGAGGGTGGAGCCTCCTACGGGGTGTGGCTATGCAGAGTGGCAGAGACGCTGAGGGAAGGGGGTCACTGGGCTTGAAGGGGTCAGGTCAGCCAGGGAGAAGTAGGACCGAGGATCACAACCCTGAAGCCCTGCAGAGGAGGGTAGCAGGGGTGGGGCAGAATGAGGACCAGGCGCCGTGCGGAAGCCACCCACCAAGCTCACACAAGGGATGTGGCTGAACATGTGCTGGGCAAACACTAGAGGGTGAGAGTGGGGCTGACTTAGTAAAAGGGACATGTGGCTTGATTTTTAGTGAAATACCATAGTGTCACAACTAGTGCTGTCTCTGCCCCACGCCAAAAGGAAAAGTCAAGTGAAATAGGCTGGGTAGAATTCCCCCAGGGTAGGCAAAATGCTAGGAATCTGTACAGAGAGGGAGGCCAGAGGGAGTGAAGAAGGCACAGGGCACGGTATGGCGCACGGACGTCCTGGGTGGAAACCTACTAAGGCTGAGCTCTTGAGATTTAGAAAGTGTCTTCTTTGACCCTATGCCTTAAACAAAGCCAGCCCAGCCATCTATCCTGTGTCCAGAACTAACAGTAGAGGGCCTGTAGGTATCTCGACCCCTCCTCACAGCAGAAGCCCGATACTCACCCCTAGGCAGGTGTCTTTTTTTTTTTTTTGAGCGGCGTCTCGCTCTGTCGCCCAGGCTGGAGTGCAGTGGCGCGATCTTGGCTCACTGCAAGTTCCGCCTCCCAGGTTCACGCCATTCTCCTGCCTCTGCCTCCCGAGTAGCTGGGACTACAGGTGCCCACCACCACGCCCACCTAATTTTTTGTATTTTTAGTAGAGATGGGGTTTCACCGTTTTAGCCAGGATGGTCTCGATCTCCTGACCTCCTGATCCGCCCGCCTCGGCCTCCCAAAGTGCTGGGATTACAGGCGTGAGCCACCGCGCCCGGCCTAGGCAGGCGTCTTAACTGGCTCCTCTCCAATGCCTGCACGGGCCAGGTTCCAACCCCAGCCCCCGTGTTCACCCCTCAATTTGAGAACAGGTTTGACTCCACCTCATTTGACCTTGGTCTTCTCTTTTTTTCTTTTTTTTTTTTTTGAGACAAGGCCTTCCTCTGTTGCCTAGGCTGCAGTGCCGTGGTGCAATCATGGCTCACTACAGCCTTCAACTTCTGAGTTCAAGGGATCCTCCACCCTCAGCCTCCCCCAAGTTGCCAGGGCTACGGTTGCTCCCCGCTAAACCTGGCTAATTTTTTTTATTTTTTGTAGAGATGGGCTGTCACTGTGTTGCCCAAGCGATCTCAAACTCCTGGGCTCAAGCGATCCTCCCACCTCAGCCTCCCAAATTGCTGGGATTACAGGCTTGAGCCTCCATGCTCAGCCTAGTACTCTCTTGGACACAGTTTTAGACTCAATGATAGCCTCCACCACCATCCCCTGCCAGGCCTTGCCCACTTCAAGACAGCATTTCATAACAACTAACATTTAGCACTGCTCAGTACATGCAAGGCATGGGCTAGAAAAGGCCTTGAAAGTCCTTCCGTTCCATTCCGATTCCTCCTATAACCTTTCCACCAAAAACTGACGCAATGCTGCTAGAACATCCCAGAGCCTGGGAAGTCACTCCTCCTGACACTGTCCATCTCACTGCAGAGTGAATGAATGGCTCTGCTGGAAACTCTTCGCTACTGAATCCTTGTTCTTTCCTCCACAGTCATGCAGAACAAGCGTCATTTCTTTCCCATCTGATAGGAATCTGAAGATGACCATCCTATCTCAACAAAGCCTCCTCCTTTCCAGGAGAAATACACCTCCAGGTCTTTACACTTCTGCTCGTGAGACACATCCTCAGGTTCTGTCCCCTGCCTGTTCCTCTTGCCCAAGTCCCTCTTAAGATGTGCTCCCTGGCATCACACACGGCAAACACTTAGAGCACTGACTGTGCCAGCCACTTTCCAAGCCCGTAGCACATATTAACTTATTTAATCCTCATACTAATGCTATATGCTATTGGTACCGTTATGATTTGCATTTTACAGATGAGGAAACTGTGGCAGACGTGGAAAATAACTGGGCCAAGACTAGTACCAGTGGCAGAGATGAGAATCGAGTCCAGGCAATCTGGATGCACTCAGAAGCCCCATGCTGACCCTCAAGCTTGGCAGCCATTGGAATCACCCTGGGGAGTTCTAGAAACTCCCGAGCCTGGGATCCACCCCTAGAGATTCTGATTTGACTGCACCATGTATCATCTGGGCATCTGAACTTTTAAAATCCATCCAGGTGCTTCAAGTGAGCAGTCAAGAATGAGAACGACTGCTCTCTGCTGTCAAGCTAACACATTCCCAGGGCAGTCTGGCTGGGGCAGAGTAGGGTTGCATTAGAGAGGAGTGATGGAAATTTCCAGGCTTCCCTGGAAGAGGCTAATGCAGGGACAGGCTCAGACACGGGTGACAAGAGCCAGCCTTGCAAGAGCGCTAAATAAACAGTGACTCGGGTGGTACGAGTCTAGAGGCTTTCTCAAAAAAGGAAAGTAAGAAAAAGAAGACACAGAATCCTCCCCTTATAGGATACTTGGCTTCAAGGGCTTCCTCTGGAAAGGACTTCCCCTGGTCACAAAGCCCACCTTGGGCACAGAGCCATCGCTTCCTCAGTCAGCAGCTGCCCGTCCAGTACCATCAGCACAGCTTCCTGATCGCCTTCCAAAGGCTAGAGGTGGATGCAGCAGGGGTGCCAGCCCTTCCCATCCCACCCTCTCCTCTTTCCTGGTTCTGTGAATTAGAACAAGAAAGCACAGGGGCCAGTGGCTCCACAGGCTGAGGACAGGGCCTCTCCCATTCCCAATCGAACACAGTCTCCAGCCCTGCCTTCAAAGGGTATCTGAACTTGGGCCATCCCATGGTACCACTCTTCACTTTCCTATCTCTCTGCTGATATTCCCTCTTGAGCCTAAGCTTGGGTTATTGCTGTTTTTTTTTATTTTTTGTTAGTTATTATTTTTAGAGATGGGGGTCTCACTGTGTTGCGCAGGCTGGTCTCAAACTCCTGGCCTTAAGTGATCCTCCCACCTCAGCCTCCCAAAGTGCTAGGATTACTGGCATGAGCCACCATGCCTGGCCAGGGTATTGTTTTTAAAGCACAAGGGTCTTTATCAGTTAAAGAGAAGCCAATCAGATATTCTCTGGTTGTGCTGGAAACTTCTGCATCTTTCAGTTCCTTGAACTCGCTCTCAGCCATCTGGGCCACAGTGTCAGGGCACAGGGTGAGGCTCTGACCTTGAACAGCTCCACGAAGGCTCAGTAGCCCTTTCCTCCTTTTCACCATCCCCCTCTGCCATCCCTGGAAACCCAGACAGCCATGGCAACCTGAGCATGAATAAAAGAGAAACTACCCTCACCCCAAGCCCTATTAATACTTAATGCCAACATCTGAATGCAAATTGACTTCACTTTTGTTTTATTCCCTTTCCTCCGTGCCCCTCTCTGATATAGAATGCCTTTCATGGAAGGCAGCAGCGGTCCTTCTGTTTGCTAGAAATAGGGAGTCAAGGTGGAGGTTCCTAGCACGGAGGAGAGAAGCACAAACAGGACTGCACATGGCTGGGGCAAACCCGGAAGTTCCAAACTGTATTTTTTAGAATCTTTCCAAATGAGAGTGCATCTCAGGGGCATTTCTTCTCTGTAGAGGTCACAGTGACTTGCTCAACCTGTGGGGGGAATTTTGCAAACAAGGATAGAATATTGGTAGCCTGGAAGCTGTGAAAAATAATCTCCTTCTAAACCTGTAAATCCTCTCTTTTTCTACAGCTAAGAAAAGGCAGATGGTTCAGCAGACAGCTTTGTTCCTATCCTGCACAGTCTCTGAACCTGGCGCTTTTCTCGTCTGTGTGGCAAGACTAAGGCACAGAGGGTTTTAAAGGGGGTTCGGGGTATTAAGTTTTAAAAAGAGAGCAAGAAAGGCAAATGTTGATATAAAAATATTTAATTGTTTGGAATGGCAAAGAATCAGGTAGGTGCTTGAGAAATAAGAAAATTGTTAACACTGTGTCTGTAGTAATAGGGTGAAAAAAAAGAAAGAAAATTGAACAGATCTGGGGTATTTATTAATGAGTTACTTATATTTCTGGTAAAAAGGTGAGGCTAGTGTAGAGTTCATTCACTATAAGGGTGTCTTAAATAGGGGTACTGGCCAGTGGCTCTATTTTTGCAGAGAGGAGTGTGATGACAAAGAAGGGGTCTTGAGCAAATGTCTACTTGCTGTTGGATGCATTTCATTTTCAGCCTCTCTGTGTTTGTAAACACACACACACACACACAAACACATACACACCCACACACACAATACACACACACGCACACACACGCACGCACACACATGCACACACACACATGCATACACACAAATACACATGCACACAAATACACATGCACACATGCACACATACACATGCACACACATACACACATGCACACATGCACACATACACATGCACACACATACACACACATGCACATACACACATGCACACATACACATACATACACACAAATACACATGCACACATGCACATACACACATGCACACACATACACACACATGCACATACACACATGCACACATACACATACATACAAATACACATGCACACATGCACATACATGCACACATACACATACACGCACACACAATACACACATACACATACATACACAAGCACATACACACATGCACACATACACATACATACACATGTACATACATACACATACATACACACATACACACACAAATACACCCATACACACACATACGCAGGAGCTGTGAGAGTCAATCCCCACTCATGTGAGCGGTGTGAGTACCAACGACACAAGGAACTAGGGCCAGAGAATACGTCTGCTAACATAGTGTTTCCTAAACCCTCATGAACCGTCTGCGAGGACAAAGATGTCATAATTCTTTGGGAATTGTTTTCTAGATTGATGGGGGACATGTATAGTTCAGAGCAGAGATAAAAAGACACAAACAGGCTAAATGGCACACCAAGCTCACACAACAAGTCAGGGGTGCAGCTGTGAAGAGAACCACAGTCCCCGAGGGCTCCTGGCTCACAGAGGACAACTGCTCTGCTCGGGTATTAGGATGCGTTCACCCTCGATGATGATGGGCGTTCATAAGGAGGTGGGGACGACACATTACTCTCCAACTGTTCATCAGAACACTTCAACAGCGACATCAGCTAGGAGAAGAAAACACAGCAAAGAGGGATAAAGCAAGGAGAAGAAAAAAATAGGGCAGAGTTGCACAAATTATTCTCAAATTGCTGGATGTAGAAATTAATTCTTAAAATCCCAACTAGAAAGTATAACCAGTAACAAAGGCTACGTAGGCAAACAGAAACTTAATTGACATGATTACTTGATAATTTTTAAATGGGAAGTGAGAAAAAGAATAAAACACAAAACACCTTGACTATAACCATAATGGAAATGTTTTCGTTTTTCTTTTCCTTTTTTTTTTTGAGATGAAGTTTCACTCCGTTGCCCAGGCTGGAGTGCAGTGGCACAATCTTGGCTCACTGCAACCTCCCCATCCCAGGTTTAAACTATTCTCCTGCCTCAGCCTCCCAAGTAGCTGGGACTACAGGCGTGTACCACCAAGCCCAGTTAATTTTTGTTTTTTTAGTGGAGATGGGGTTTCACCACGTTGGCTGGGCTGGTCTCGAACTCCTGAACTCAAGTGATCCTCCCACCTCGGCCTTCTGAAGTGCTAGAATTACAGGCATGAGCCACCGCGCCCGGCCCATAATAGAAATATTTTCTTTGTTGACATGTGCAAAATAAGGGTATTCAGTGGAAACCAAATGAAGCCTGAAAAAGAAAGATGCACCCTTGTTTCAATGGGTGATGCTTCCTTCTACTGGGGGCTCATTCTACAGCAACTCCAGGCTGAAGTGGTACCTGACTCAAGCTTTGAGAACCATGGAAACAAACAGCAAATGCTAACTTTATAAGGGCCTGTTTCCTCTGTTGTTTGAGTGAATCACACTGGGTCACTAGATACTATAATATTTGGAATTTTACATTATCAAAGCCTTGCATCTCCTCCACAGGATTGCCAGAAGAATTCATGAAATTAGACGGATTCATAGACAATTTTAAGTTTCTCATGTGAAAACAGTGTGAGAAATACAAGATGATAATCATAAAAATAACTGTGGCTAGGATGGAAAAGGTGGGCATTGTATGCAATTTGAAAAAGCCTTCTCAAGGTTATATTTATGTCAGGGATACTGGAAGTACTGTTTTGGGGATAAAACTATAAAAAGTACAGTTCAGCTGGGTGTGGTAGTTCATGTCTGTAATCCCAATACTTTGAGAGGCTAAGGTGGAAGGATGACTTGAGCCCAGGAGTTCAAGACCAACCTGGGCAACACAGCAAGACCCCATCTCCACAAAAAATTAAAAAATTAGCTGAGTGTGGTGATGCACACCTGTAGTCCCAACTACTCAGGAGGCTGCAGTGGGGCCTCACTTGAGCCCAGGAGGTCGAGGCTGCAGTGAACTATGATCACACTGCTTCACTCCAGCCTGGGCAACAGAGAGAGACCCTGTCTCAAAAAAAAAAAGTATATAAAAATAAAGAGCAAAATTTGACTGGTTCTTTTTGGCCGATAAGAGAGGAAGCCCAGAATATATTGGGATTCTTAACAGGAGGACAAGCCACTGTATCAGAGGCATACCAGAATCTGGAAGAGAAGGGGAGGGTGGATGACAAAGGACATATAAATTTTATATCTGCAAACTTCATATACATGTTTTAAAAGGTAAAAAAGCAAACAAGCAACTCCACCGACCGCGGCTACTCAGGCTATAGTCAGGACCCACAGTGTGGGCATCCCATGGAGCCTGATAGAAAGGGGGACTCTCAGGCCCACCCAGACCTACAGAATCAGAATCCGCATTTTGTCAAGATCCCCAGGAGATACCCATGCACGTGAATGTTTAAGAAACTTGGTTGGGTGCAGTGGCTCACACTTGTAATCACAACAGTTTGGCAGGCTGAGGCGGGCAGATCTCGTGACCCCAGAAGTTCGAGACCGGCCTAGGCAACTTAGCGAAATCCCATCTCTTTAAAAAATAAGCCAGGCTTTGTGGTTCATGCCTGTAGTCACAGCTACTTGGGAGGCTGAGGTGGGAGGATCACCTGAGCCTGGGAGGTGGAGGCTGCAGTGAGCCATGATTGCACTACTTCATTCCAGCCTGGACCACAGAGCGAGACCCTGTCTCTAAAAAAAAAAAAAAAAAGAAAGAAAAAAGAAAGTTTGAGAAACTTTAAGACCCTTTGCAATAAATTCACCTCACATCTACGACAGTGTATTTGACAAGGAGCTTCATATCCAATGAAAATATTGGAAGCTGCGGTAATAGCTGTCAAAAGCCGAGTGGCTTTTCCCAGTACAGTTTCCTTAAGTAAGATGTCTTTCCTACATTTTTATACTGTGCACAGTCCTAAGTATTCTAACCGCTTTGCACTAATTTGGGGATACATTATATCAGAAGTTTGCTCTATTGGGGCTGCATGCAGTGGCTCATACCTGTAATCCCAGCACTTTGGGAGGCCAAGGCAGGAGGATCACTTGAGGTCGGAGTTCAAGACCAGCCTGGGCAACATAGTGAAACGCTGTCTCTCAAAACAAAAAAAACTTAAATCTGAAAAAAAAAAGAAGTCTGCTGTTTTCCTCTTAAATTATGGGATTTGACATTTAGCCCTTTTCTTTATGAACATATATGCCTTGAATCTCTTCCTATATAGTACACATGTACACCTACTGACATATGTATAATCAGTAGGTTTGCTTTTGTCATTTGTCATTGTATGCCCCCATTTTGCAGGTGTTGACAGGGTCCACCTGAGAATCATAATCATAAATCATAAATGACCCATTCTGGCTGCTTTGCTGGACAGATTCTCTATTGTGGCCCTTTCTAATTCTCCACCACTATAAATAGAGGTATTATGAATATTATTGTGCAAAGTTACTAATTTTCCCCTTTTCAAAAGGTTATTTCCTGGTGGAATATCCCCAAAGAGATAAAGCACAGTTCCTGACTTGAGGAATCTTTCGTGGGCATGTGGAAGTTGGCACCCTGCAGGGCCACACACTTGGGCAGGTGCTGGACACACCCTCTGCCCCTCCGGGCACACTCTCTATCCTGCTCCAGCCCCAGGCCCTGCCTGGCCTTTAAGAACTCTATCAAAGGGCTCATTTTCCTTCTGGCTCCCCTTAGGGCTGACTAGAAGGAGGCTCTAGGAGGAGAAGGGAGAATAGGTGGAGAGAAGGAGGAGTCCCTCCCTACCAGGCTGCAGATTGGCACAGGATCTGCTCCTTACCAATGCTTCCATCAGGAGGCTTCCCTGCACTTGAGGGACTCTTTCTTCTTGCCCCTTCAGGCTTCGGCTGGCCACGGTTTCCCCAGTGCTAGCCAGCTGGTTTTCCATAAACCTGCCCCCATCTTTGTAAAGAGATTCTGAGGTTCTCCTGAATGGTTTTAGACCATACCTTCTTCTTGCCACCTGGAGCCTGCATGGGGCAACAGCATGCCTTGGGACTATGAAGAGAGACTCTATTATTATTATTTATTTCAAGAGATGGGGTCTCACTGTGTTGCCCAGGCTGGTCTCAAATTCCTGACCTCAAGTGATCCTCCAGCCTCAGCCTCCAGAGTAACTAGGATTACTGGCATGAGCTACCAGGCCTGGCTAAGGAACTCTGACCAACAGGGATGGAGCTGTGGCAGTCTTGCCAGGAGAAATATCTGCTAAGCTGGAAGCTCAAAGGCAGGACAAGTTAGCCTGCCTGGGGATAGGGTAGGCAGAAATGTTGGGATCAAAACTGGGAGGGTGAGAAGGAGAGCCTGCTAGAGGCTCAGCATGGAAAGACACATGGCTGGAGAGAAACTAGAGTGGTCATCTCAGATGCTACCGCAAACACAGGCACGTGCACAGGGGAATTTCACGGAGCTACTAAAAATTATGTTCACCAGACTTTTTTTTTTTTTTTTTTTTTTTTGAGATGGAGTCTCGCTGTTACCCAAGCTGGAGTGCAGTGACACGATATTGGCTCACTGCAACCTCTGCTTCCCAGGTTTGAGTGATTCTCGTGCCTCAGCCTCCTGAGTAGCTGGGATTATAGGCATGCACTACCACACCCAGCTAATTTTTGTATTTTTAGTATAGATACGGTTTCACCATTTTGGCCAAGCTGGTCTCGAACTCCTGGCTTCAAATGATCTGTCCACCTTGGCCTCCCAAAGTGCTGGGCTTACAGGTGTGAGCCACCACGCCCGGTCCACCAGACTTTTTTTGTTTTTGTTTTTGATTTTTGTTTTTTGGAGACAGAGTCTTGCTCTGTCGCCCAGGCTGGAGTGCAGTAGCGCGATCTCGGCTCACTGCAAGCTCCACCTCCTGGGTTCACGCCATTCTCCTGCCTCAGCCTCCCAAGTAGCTGGGACTACAGGTGCCGGACACCACGCCCGGCTAATTTTTTATATTTTTAGTAGAGACGGGGTTTCACCGTGTTAGCCAGGATGGTCTCGAGCTCCTGGCCTCGTGATCCATCCTTCTCAGCCACCCAAAGTGCTGTGATTACAGGCGTGAGCCACCGCGCCCGGCCCACCAGACTTTTTTTAATGGCTGAAAACAAAGTTTTCAAACAAAAATGATGAGAGAGCTTGCCCTCCGTATACTAAAACTATGAAAGCCATTGTAAACTCTATAGAATTGGCACAGAAACAGACAAATAGATTAATAAAAAATAGAGAGCCTAGAAGTAGATTCAACAATCTATGGAAACTTAACTATATCATAAAGGAAGCACATCAACCCAAGGGGGGACAAAAACATTTATTTCATACATAACGTTGGCATGACTCGAAAGCAACTGAAAGGCCTGGTGAGGTGGCTCACGCCTGTAATTCCAGCACTTCAGGAGGCCGAGGCTGGCGGATCATTTGAGGTCAGGAGTTCAAGACCAGTCTGGCCAACACAGCGAAACCCCATCTCTACTAAAAGTGGAAAAATTCGGCGGGCATGTTGGGCGGGCATGCTTGTAATCCCATCTACTCTGGAGTCTGAGGCAGGAGAATCGCTTGAACCCTGGAGGCAGAGGCTGCAGTAAGCCAGGATTGCACCACTGCACTCCAGCGTGGGCAACAGAGCACGACTCCGTCTCCAAAAAAAAAAAGCCTCCGGAAAAAAAATTAATTAGATGCCTCCTTCTCCATACCATACTAAAAAATAAAGTCCAAGAGAGATGAAGAGTTTTAATGTCAAAAATAATCAATACAAGCTTTAGAAGGAAATACAGGGGGAAAATGTTTTCTTGAAATAGAAAGAGTCTTAAAACCAAAATCTTAGAAGCCAAAGAAAAAGATTGAGAGATTTCACTGCAAGAAAATTTTGCCATAGTGTCATGGTGTCTGCATGACAAAAAACACCCAAAAAATCAATAGATAAACAAGAGGCTAGAAGAAAATACTTAACACTATGATAACTTCTAGGTTAATATTAAGATCTCTAATTTTATTTACTTTTAAAAAAAATATGGAGTCTCCTGTTGCCCGGGCTGGAGTGCAGTGGCTATAAACAGGTGTGATCCCACTACTGATCAGCACAGGAGTTCTGACCCGCTTCATTTCCACCTGGGCCAGTTTACCCCTACTTAGGCAACCTGGTGATCCTCCACTCCCGGGAGGTCACCTTATTGATACTGAATTTAGTGTACACACCTGATCAGCATAGCACACTACAGCCCAGAACTCCTGGCCTCAATCAATCCTCCTGCCTCAGCCTTGTAGCTGGAACTACAAGCATGCACCACTACACCAAGCTTAGTATGTTTTAATCCTATAAATCAATAGAGAAACAACCCAAAGACATAGGAATCATAATATATAGGCAGGCAATTCACACAAGAAGAAATGCAAATGACCAAGAAGTAAATGAAAAAAAGGCTCAATCTCTCTAGTGACAAGGGAATTATAAATTAAAGCAATAATGAGGGCCGGGCGCAGTGGCTCAAGCCTGCAATAGCAACACTTTGGGAGGCCGAGGCGGGCAGATCACAAGGTCAATAGATCAAGACCATCTCTACTAAAAATACAAAAATTAGCTGGGCTTGGTGCTGCATACCTGTAGCCCCAGCTACTCAGAGGGCTGAGGCAGAAGAATCGCTTGAACCCAGGAGGCGAAGATTGCAGTGAGCTGAGATTAAGCCACTGCATTCCAGCCTAGCCACAGAGTAAGACTCTGTCTCAAAAATAAATAAATAAGTAAATAAATTTTTTTTTAAATAAAAAATAGCCAGGCGCGGTTTCTCACGCCTGTAATCCCAGCACTTTGGGAGGCCGAGGCGGGCGGATCACTAGGTCAGGAGATCGAGACCATCCTGGCTAACACGGTGAAACCCCATCTCTACTTAAAAAAATGCAGAAAATTAGCTGGGCGTGGTGGTGGGCGCCTGTAGTCCAAGCTGCTGGGGAGGCTGAGGCAGGAGAATGGCATGAACCCGGGAGGCGGAGCTTGCAGTGAGCCGAGATCCCACCACTGCACTCCGGCCTGGGCGACAGAGCGAGACTCCGTCTCAAAAAATAATAACGAGATATAGTTGACAAAACGTTACAACATTATCCGCATCTAGTCTTTGTGAGAACGTAGAGAAATGTGCATGCTCACACACTGCTGGTGGCAGTGTGAATTGCTCGAATTGCTCTATTGTTTGGAAATTAAACTGTCAATATGTGTTAAAATTAAAATTGGGCATACCCAGCAATCCTACTTCAAGATATGTATTCCACAGAAGTAAAAGCTTCAGTACTTATGGCCGGGTATCCATAATTCCAGTGAGAGATGACACCATGCTGGCAGCTCTTGCAGCACTCGCTCGCTCTCTGCGCCTCCTCGGCCTTGGCGCCCACTCTGGCCGCGCTTAAGGAGCCCCTCAGCCCGCCGCTGCACTGTGAGAGCCCCTTTCTGGGCTGGCCAAGGCCAGAGCCGGCTCCCTCAGCTTGCAGGAAGGTGTGGAGGGGAGAGGCGCGGGCAGGAACCGGGGCTGCGCGCGGTGCTTGCAGGCCAGCACGAGTTCCTGGTGGGTGTGGGCTCTGCGGGCCCCGCACTCGGAGCGGCCGGCCGACCCGGCCGGCCCCCGGCAATGAGAGGCTTAGTACCCGGGGCAGCGGCTGCAGAGGGTGTGTTGGGTCCCCCAACAATACCGGCCCACCGGCGCTGCGCTCGATTTCTCGCCAGGCCTTAGCTGCCTCCCTGCAGGGCAGGGTTAAGGACCTGCAGTCCATGCCTGAGCCACCCCCTTCCCCCGTGGGCTCCTGTGCAGCCCGAGCCTCCCCGTCGAGCGCCGGCCTCTGCTCCACGGCGCCCAGTCCCATCCGCCACCCAACGACTAAGGAGTGCGGGCCCACAGCTCGGGACTAGCTGGTAGCTCCACCTGCGGCCCCAGTACAGAATCCACTGGGTGAAGCTAGCTAGGCTCCTGACTCTGGTGGGGGACTTAGGAGAACCTTTATGTCTAGCTAAGGGATTGTAAAATACCAATCGGCACTCTGTATCTAGCTCAAGGTTTGTAAGCACACCAATCAACACCCTGTGTCTAGCTCAGGGTTTGTGAATGCACCAATGGACACTCTGTATCTAGCTACTCTGGTGGGGACTTGGAGAACCTTTGTGTCTAGCTCAGGGATTGTAAACGCACCAATCAGCACCCTGTCAAAACAGACCACTCGGCTCTCTGTATAATGGACCAATCAGCAGGATATGGGTGGGGCCAGATAAGAGCATAAAAGCAGGCTGCCCCAGCCAGCAGTGGCAACTCGCTCAGATCTCCTTCTTACGCTGATGGATGTTTGTTCTTTAAAATTTTGCAGCTGGTTATTCTGGGTCCACACTTCCCTTAAGAGTTGCGATACTTACCGTGAACGGTCCCTAACTTCGTTCTTGAGCTAGTAACATCACGAACTCTGCTAGAAAGAAGAAACTAAATACATCCGAACATCAGATGCAACAAACTCCAGACAACAGTCACCAGGGGAGTCCGTGGCTTCATTCCTGAAGTTAGTGAGACCAAGAGCCTACCTGGTCCTACACACACTGTGGCTCCACTTTTTAATATATAACTGTCTGGTGTATATATGACTTGTCCTTAGGAGAACAAGGCAATCTCGGTGGCTCAACGCCTGTAATCCCAGTATTTTGGGAGGCTGAAGGCGGGTGGATCACCTGAGGTCAGGAGTCAGACCAGCCTGGCCATCATGGTAAAACCCTATCTCTACTAAAAATACAACAAAAATCAGTCAGGTGTGGTGTGTGCCTGTAGTCCTAGCTACTTGGCAGGCTGAGGGAGGCTGGTGGCTTGAGCTCGGGATGCGGAGGTTGCAGTGAGCTGAGATTGCGTGACTACTCCAGCCTGGGCGACGGAGGAAGACACATACACAGAAAGGAAAACAAAGGATCATTAGCAATGCCATGATGGAGCCTGGAGGGGGTGGGTAGAAACCTGAAGGAAGGAATACTTTCTGAGAGAGAAAGAGACTGCATTGCACCCAGGCTGGAATGCAGTGGTGTGATCATAGCTCACTGCAGCCTCAAACTCCTGCCGTCAGGTGATCCTCTTGCTTCAGCCTAAGTAGCTGGGACTACAGGTATTCCCCACCACGCTTCTCTAATTTTCTTATTTTTTGTAGAGGTGGCGTCTTGCTATGCTGCCCAGTCTGAACTTGAACTCCTGGCCTCAAGTGATCCCATACCTTGGCCTCCCAAAGTGCTGGGATTAGAGGGGTGAGGGACCTTACCCAGCCTTAAGTGTTTTCTTGATGCTGCTCTGTATTGTTTAATTGTTTTGATCAATATGTGGTACTTTTCTGATTATTTTAAAATACCATAAAAAGCTGAGACAATTGTGTACCAGTTATAAAGAGGACTGCACATTTTTTATACTCGTTATCCAAAGCAGCAGCGCACAGGCAGAGTGAAAAATCCAGCCACAGCTGTGTGATTTAGAGGACAGTCCAACGCTCCAGGTCCCTCTTGCTGTCAGACAGCACCAGGTCACCAGACCTAAATGCCCCAACAATGCCTGAGTCTGCAGTGCTGAGAGGGTACCCGTGTCCAGCTTGGGAGGCCCACCTTTTCACTCCAAGGTCACACTGCAGGTCCCCAGGCCTTTGGCCCCAGATGTACCTGTCCCTTAACTTTCCCTTAAAATCAAATCTTAGGTTCTTACAAACCACCCCAATAAACTCAAAACTCGTGTTATGAAATTCCTTTACTAGTAAATATGCTGTCACTTGGAGACATTTTGCTTACTCCAGGCTGTACATTGGTTAAAGGCCTTCCACTCATCCTTGCCGTCTCTTCTTGAGGAATCACCTGCTGCAGACTTGGCTAATCATAAACCAAGGGGAAAAAAGTCAGAATTCACAACAGTGTTCACTTTAAAAGTTTAAAAAAAAAATGTGAGAGGAGAGGTGGGTATTACAATTTACCTCATCCGCGTGATTATTCACTTGTTGAATTGAAATTGAAGGGAAATTTGCGACTTGCACAAAGACAGGAACCTCTGCTGGAGACTTCCATCTGGGGAGCAGATTTATAAGCCTTTGGAGATGCGGAATAACTTTCCTGTAATGAAGCGCAAGCAAGACCACCCCCTCCAAATGGCGTGTAGGGCCCAGGGAAAGCTAAAATGCACAAAGACACCCAGACGGGAGGGTTTGAGAGGCGTCAGGGTTGAAACCTGAATAAAGCCAACCTTTTAAAAGTGAGTTCGTAGAAATGAGCTGTTCTGTACGTGCTGTTGTTTTTTTTGTTTTGTTTTGTTTTGTTTTGTTTTTTAATGACTTCTCAACCAGGCGGCTGCTTAGGGCTTTGAAAGCTCAATTTGAAATACAGGGAAGGAAGTGACAGAGCGTGATGCAGCCAGGCAGGTGCCTGTCTCAAGTGGAACATGGGCAGACCGTTGCAGAAGAGCGGGAGGGCTGGCAGGAGCCCCAGTGTCGTGCCGGAGCGGCTGGCTGCGCTCTCCACAGCCTCCCCTACAAACCACATGTTGGCCAGTAAACAGAAAGACCAACCGCTTGACGTGTCCTGAAATGGAATTACCAGTGGGCGATATAATAGCAAGATTCAAAGCAGGAAGCAAATAGCTTTTTCTACAAGTTTATTGTCAGAAACATTTTTCCACTCATTTTTTTTTTTTTTGCTTTGCTTTTGCAATACAGTAATGAAGGAGGACCCCAAAATGCTATTCTGGGGAACTGGAAAGAGTATTAATTCTCAGTGCTAAAGATGACACAGACCACAAAAATAAAAACAAAATACAAAAATAAATAAACAAGATTGAAAGGAGGGACTGGAATAGATATTTGTACCTCCATGATCACAGCAGCATTATTCACAACGTGGATGAACATTGAAGACATTATGCTCAGTGAAACAAAAGGGCAAATACTACATGATTCCACTTGTATGAGGTCCCTAGGAGTAAACTCACAGAGACAGGAAGTAGAATGGGGGCTGCCAGGGGCTGGGGGAGGGAGAATGGGGAGTTGGTGTTTAATGGGTACAGAGTTTCAGTTTGGGAACATGAAAAAGTTCTAGAGATAGATGGTGGTGATGGCTGCACAACATGGTGAATGTACTTAGTGCCACTGAGCTGTACACTCAGAAATGGTTAAGATGGTAAAATGCATGTTACATATGTTTTACCACAATAAAAAAATAATCAGGCCACACACAGTAGTCATGCTTGTAATCCCAGCACTTTAGGAGGCCAAGATGGGAGGATCACTTGAGCCCAGGAGTTCAAGACCAGCCTGGGCAACATTGGGAGACCTCGTCTCTACTTTTTTTTTTTTTTTCACATTTTACAACTAAATCTTTATTAAATAATTATTTCACAAGTTAGTAATATAATTATTCTTTTTTTTTTTTTTTGAGACGGAGTCTCGCTCTGTCGCCCAGGCTGGAGTGCTGTGGCACGATCTCGGCTCACTGCAAGCTCTGCCTCCTGGGTTCATGCCATTCTTCTGCCTCAGCCTCCCGAGTAGCTGGGACTACAGGCGCCCACCACCACGCCCAGCTAATTTTTTGTATTTTTTAGTACAGATGGGGTTTCACCATGTTAGCCAGGATGGTCTAGATCACCTGACCTCATGATCCGCCCGCCTCGGCCTCCCAAAGTGCTGGGATTACAGGCGTAAGCCACCATGCCCGGCCTTTATTGATATTCTTCTTCAGGTACTAGACTTCCTATGCATCCTAAACTGACTTTTTTATTATTATTATTATACTTTAAGTTCTAGGGTACATGTGCACAATGTGCATGTTTGTTACATAGGTATACATGTGCCATGTTGCTTTGCTGCACCCATTAATTCCTCATTTACATTAAGTATTTCTCCTAATGCTATCCCTCCCCCATCCCCCCACCCCACGACAGGCCCGAGTGTGTGATGTTCCCCACCCTGTGTCCAAGTGTTCTCATTGTTCAATTCCCACTTATGAGTGAGAACATGCGGTGTTTGGTTTTCTGTCCTTGTGATAGTTTGCGGAGAATGATGGTTTCCAGCTTCATCCATGTCCCCACAAAGGACATGAACTCATCCTTTTTTATGGCATGGTGTATATGCGCCACATTTTCTTAATCCAGTCTATCACTGATGGACATTTGGGTTGGTTCCAAGTCTTTGCTATTGTGAATAGTGCCGCAATAAACATACGTGTGCATGTGTCTTTATAGCAGCATGATTTATCATCCTTTGGGTATATACCCAGTAATGGGATCACAGGGTCAAATAGTATTTCTAGTTCTAGATCCTTGAGGAATTGCCACACTGTCTTCCACAATGGCTGAACTAGTTTACAGTCCCACCAGCAGCATAAAAGCGTTCCTATTTGTCCACATCCTCTCCAGCACCTGTTGTTTCCTGACTTTTTAATGATCGCCATTCTAACTGGTGTGAGATGGTATCCCATTGTGGTTTTGACTTGCATTTCTCTGATGGCCAGTGATGATGAGCATTTTTTCATGTGTCTATTGGCTGCATAAATGTCTTCTTTTGAAAAATGTCTGTTCATATCCTTTGCCCACTTTTTGATGGGGTTGTTTTTTTTTTCTTGTAAATTTGTTTAAGTTCTTTGTAGATTCTTGATATTAGCCCTTTGTCAGATGAGTAGATTGCAAACATTTTCTCCCATTCTGTAGGTTGCCTGTTCACTCTGATGGTAGTTTCTTTTGCTGTGCAGAAGCTCTTTAGTTTAATTAGATCCCATTTGTCTATGTTGGCTTTTGTTGCCATTGCTTTTGGTGTTTTAGACTTGAATTCCTTGTCCATGCCTATGTCCTGAATGGTACTACTGCCTAGGTTTTCTTCTAGGGTTTTTATGGTTTTAGGTCTAACATTTAAGTCTTTAATCCATCTTGAATTAATTTTTGTTTAAGGTGTAAGGAAGGGATCCAGTTTCAGCTTTCTACATATGTCTAGCCAGTTTTCCCAGCACCATTTATTAAATAGGGAACCCTTTCCCCATTCCTTGTTTTTGTCAGGTTTGTCAAAGATCAGATCGCTGTAGATGTGTGGTTTTATTTCTGAGGCCTCTGTTCTGTTCCATTGGTCTTTATCTCTGTTTTGGTACCAGTATCATGCTGTTTTGGTTACTGTAGCCTTGTAGTACAGTTTGAAGTCAGGTAGTGTGATGCCTCCAGCTTTGTTCTTTTGGCTTAGGATTGTCTTGGCAATGCGGGCTCTTTTTTGCTTCCATATGAACTTTAAAGTAGTTTTTTCCAATTCTGTGAAGAAAGTCATTGGGAGCTTGATAGGGATGGCATTGAATCTATAAATTACCTTGGGCAGTATGGCCATTTTCATGATATTGATTCTTCCTATCCATGAGCATGGAATGTTCTTCCATTTGTTTGTGTCCTCTTTTATTTCATTGAGCAGTGGTTTGTAGTTCTCCTTGAAGAGGTCCTTCACATCCCTTGTAGGTTGGATTCCTAGGTATTTTATTCTCTTTGTAGCAATTGTGAATGGGAGTCACTCATGATTTGGCTCTCTGTTCTTGGTGTATAGGAATGCTTGTGATTTTTGCACATTGATTTTGTATCCTGAGACTTTGCTGAAGTTGTTTATCAGCTTAAGGAGTTTTTGGGCTGGACCTCGTCTTTACTTTTAAAAAATAATAATTAATTAATTTTAAAAATAAGCAGGGAAGAATACTCTTAACATGAATTCTATGTGAGCATCTATTCCACATTAAGTACACACAAGCAAGCCAAGCCATGCATTGAGAAAACAGGACTAGTAATCTGATTCAGATTTGGCTCACACGCTGCCAAACATCTCAACGAAAACAAAAGCTACACTCAATTATGTAAATATTTCCCTCCCAAAGTTGAGAATCCTGAAGACAGAATACATGCTCCAAATAACTGATTTGCTTCTGTGCTAATTTCCAGGCTTTCATCATTTTTGCCTGTTTGCAAATAATGAAAATGTGTTAAGGGTAGCAGGCACACTCTGTGTTAAATATAACCGTGACCCCAGGCACCTTCGGAAGATGCTGAGCTCCTTGGAGCTCCTTGGAGCCCTCCCCCTTCAGTCTGAGAGAATGGACCACATGCAGACCAGGCTTTCCTCAGGGGAGGGAGAAAAATGCAAGAGACTGAGAAGGTAGGCTCCGTGGGTGATTCCATAGGTCAACAGTCAAGTTAAAAATGAATCTAGTTCTCTTTAAGTTCCAGTGCACAAAACAGCATACAGCAGTGTGTTGTAGTGGGAAAACCTAGACAGAAGTGAGTTGTAATCTTAACTCCACCATGTAATTAATTATATGATCTTGGGTAAGGGCAGGTTTCTGAACCTTGTAGTCTCAGACTTCAAATGGGGAAAATACAGCTGACCCTTGAACACCACAGGTTTGAACTGTGTGGGTTCACTTACGTGCAATTTTTTTTCAATAAAAGTTACCCCGAGTGTGCCTGCCTCTCCTGCCTCCCCTTCCACCTCCTCCACCTTTTCCACCTCTGCCACCTGAGACAGCAAGACCAACCCCTCCTCTCCTTCCTCCCCCTCAGACTACTCAACATTGTGAAGACAAGGATGAAGGCCTTTATGATTATCTGTTTCCACTTAATGAATAGTAAATATATGTTTTCTTCCTTATACTTTTCTTAATGTTTTGTTTTCTCTGGCTTACTTTGTTGGAAGAATATAGTGTATAATACCCATAACATGCAAAATAGGTGTTAATCATTTACATCATCAGTCAGACTTCAATCAGCAGCAAGCAATCAGTAGTTAAATCTGGGGAGAGTCAAAAGAGATATTCAGATTATTTACTTTGCAGGGGTGGGGTGAGTGCCCCTGACTCTCATGTTGTTCAAGGGTCAACTGTATTTTCCTTTTGTTGAGACACGGTCTCCCTATGTTGCCCAGGCTGGAGAGCAGTGGTATGATCATGGGTCACTGCAGCCTCAACTTGGACTCAAGCCATCCTCCCACCTCAGCCTCCTGAGTAGCTGGGCCCACAAGTGCATGCCACCATGCCCAGCTAATTGCTGTGTGTGTGTGTGTGTGTGTGTGTGTGTGTGTGTGTGTGTATAGACAAAGTCTTGCTATGTTGCCCAGGCTAGTCTAGAACTCCTGGGCTCAAGCGATCCTCCTGCCTTGGCCTCCCAAAGTACTGAGATTACAGGCATGAGCCACTGCACCTGGCCAGGTCAACTGTAATTATAAAAGTATGATAGATTCTTTTATAATATATATACAGAACATATATATATATATATATATATATATATATATATAAAATCTAGAATTATAATTTCATAGGGCAGAATTCTCAATATGGGGGACTAGGGAAGGTAGACTACACTTCCCGCCACCCCACCTCTTCACAGAAGTCCTGCTGGGGGTGGAGGGGCAGATTGCAATTGACATGACCTCTGTATTTTTAACCCCCCACCCCAAGTCATTATAATATACGACAGAGGATCATTATCATGGTAACTTTGGGAGGATCTAATGTGGAAAGATGTTGAATGCATCTGGCAGAGCACCTAATAAGCAATCAATATTATTCACATTAGCTTCCTTCAGGCCTCTAAACAAAGTACCTCTGAGTGAGGTCTCTTCTGATCAGGGTCTATCATTCTTTTTGTATGTCTTCAAATCTCTCCCTTCCAAGCTCTTTGGCCTTTGTCATGCATATATTTGCTCCCAAGTTGTATTTCTTAAGCATCTTGTATGATGAGTTGGGTGGGCCATGGCGGCCTCCTGTTAGCTGTTGAAATCGTGGAAACTAGACAAGGAGCAGATTTACTTCTCAAGGACCAAGCGTGCGGGCATGGCCCATCCCCTAGCCACCCTTAGCCGAGCAGCCTTATCTGCTGAGGGTTTCTCTGGCCACAGGTCTCAGGGCATTCTTCCATGTGGAATGAGGACCGCCCTGGGAGCTTGTCTACTCACTCTTTTGTAGCTGTAACTGATATTTCCATCGTATTTTGGGGTGGCTTGGAAATAAACCAAACTGAAAGTAACTTGGACAGAGCCCGAGAGGTCATTCTTGCCTACCTTTGAATCCAGAATTGAGCTTAGACCCCAAGGGGAGTACACACATGAAAAATCTGGGGAGGCAACTTAGCATAATGGTAACAAGCATAAACACAAATATTAGCAGGACATGGGTTTAAATATTGGCTGCATACTTTGAGAGGCCACGGCAGAAGTGCAGTGATCACCTCACTCTGTCACCCAGGCTAGAGTGCAGTGGTGTGATCTTGGCTCACTGCAACCTTTGTCTCCCGGCTCCAGCAATCCTCCCACCTCAGCCTCCTATGTAGCTGGGACTACAGGCATACCCCATCACACCTGGCTAATTTTTGTATTTTTTATAGAAACGAGGTCTTGCCATGTAGCCCAGGCTGGTCTTGGACTCCTGGGCTCAAGCGATCCTCCCGCCTCAGCCTCCCAAAGTGCTGGGATTACAGGTGTGAGCCACCACATCTGGCTTGGGAGCTAAACCTCTGGGTCAAGGTTTCCTCATCTATAAAATAAAAATAACTGGACGCAGTGGCTCACGCCTATAATCCCAGCACTTTGGGAGGCCGAGGCAGGTGGATCATGAGGTCAGGAGATTGAGACCATCCTGGCTAACACAGTGAAACCCCGTCTCTACTAAAAATATAAAAAATTAGCTGGGTGTGGTGGCGGGCGCCTGTAGTCCCAGCTACTTGGGAGGCTGAGGCAGGAGAATCACTTGAACCCGGGAGGCAGAGGTTGCAGTGAGCCGAGATCACGCCACTGCACCCCAGCCTGGGCAACAGAGCGAGACTCCGTCTCAAAAATAAATAAATAAATAAATATAATTTTTTAAAGAGCTCACACGGTTTTGTGAAGGGTAGCTGAGGCGAAGCACACAGCACAAGGCTTAGCATATAGTAATTGCTCAATAAATAATAATGAGTGCTAACAGAGGAGTAAGACTCAGGCTTTGTGCTTACAGCAATAATGCTAACATTTATTGGGCATTTGTTATGTGAAAGGTACTTGTGTTAAAGCTCTATTTCTATATATACACACTACCTCAAGGCTTACAAAAATTGTTTGAGGTGTTGTCTTCTTTTTGAAGATGAAAAAAACCCAAAGCTTAGAGAGGTCAAGTAGCCTGCATAAGGCTGCAGACAGAGTAGTGAACAGACCAGCTGGTCTGTAACACTGGAAACCACTATTCCATATCCACTGAGGCAAGGTGTTTAATCCTTACTACCAAATGAGTATATAATGGTAATGCCCACTTGACCTCCCTCGCCAAGGATCAAATATGATGGATAAGGAAGGCTCAGTCTCTCTAAAGAAGTGTACACATGCAAGACGAAGCCATTATTAAGAGAGGTGAACTCTGCTTAAACAACCCACAGTCTAGTAGGGGAAGACAGACAAGTGCACAAATAACTATAACCCAGTGTAGGAGATGATCCACCATAACAGCAGTACCCACGGAGTTTAAAAGAATACACTTGCTTTTATTTTAGTTAGCCTTGGTATGAGAGGCTTTTTTTTTTTTTTGAGACAGGGTCTCACTCTATCACCCAGTTTGGAGTGCAGTGGCGTGATCACAGCTCACTGCAGCCTCGACCTCCTGGGCTCAAGTGCTCAAGGGGCCACAGGTGTGCACCACCATGCCCAGCTAGTTTTTTGGGTGTGTGTGTGTGTGGTAGAGTAGGGGTTTCACCATGTTGTCCAGGCTGGGTGAATTCCTGGGCTCAAGCAATTCACCTGCCTTGGCCTCCCAGAGTAATGGGATTACAGGTGTGAGCCACTGGGCCCAGTGGTATGAGAGGCTTTATGAGAAACAGCCATAATGTTCACATATAGTTTATTTCCTTTGTATTTGTTTTGAATTTTTTACAACTGTATCAATAGTTAACAAATAAATGCATACATTCAACGTATACAATGTGATGCTATGCTGTATGTATTGATTGCAAAATGATTACACAATCAAGCTAATTAACACATTTATTATCTCACAGTTATTTTGTAGTGAGAACTCTTAAGATCTACTGTCTTGGCAAATTTCAAGTAGACAATACAGCATTACTGACTATAGTCATCATGCTGTACATTAGATCTCCAAGACTTATTCATCTTATAACTGAAAGTTTGTATTCTTTGACCAACATCTCCCCATTTCCCACTTCCCAGCCTCTGGTAACCACCCTTCTACTCTGCGTCTGTGAGTTTGACTTTTTTAGATTCTACATACAAGTGAGATCATGCAGTATGAAACCACCAGAAGACCCTGAATAGCCAAAACAATCCTGAACAAAGCTGGAGACATCATACTTTTTTATTTCAAACTATATTACAAAACTATAGTAATCAAAACAGTATGGTAGTGGCATAAAAACAGACATGACACATAGACCAATGAAACAGAGTAGAGAGCCCAGAAATAAACCCAAGCATATGCAGTCAACATCCACAATGGGGAAAAAATTTTCTCTTAATCGATGGTTCTGGGAAAACAGGATATCCATAAGCAAATGAATGAACTTGGACCCTTATAATGAAACTGACCCAATAGTCCCATAGACAGTTCTTTTTGATAAACATAGAAATTGACCCTTCTGGCCTTAAAGCTTGAAATTCATATTTGAAATTTTAAAACATATAAACATTTATTTTTTTTTAATCTCAGTTCCTTCTTCAGGAAACTACCTTCAGCCCTCTCAAGAAAAAAGTAAGAAAGGACTGAAACTCACCAGATCACAGAATCCAGACAATGAGATGCTGGACTTCTCCTTCATCAGGATTGCTTCCTTGCTTCTTCTTAGTTCCTGTTTTCTTACACATTGTTACATTTCTTCCCTGCTATATAAAACCCCTAATTTTAGTCAGTCAGGGAGATGGATTTCAGGCTGAGCTCCCATCTTGTCGGCTTCAGCACCTGATTAAAGCCTTCTTCCTTGGCAGTACTCATCAGCTCAGTCCTTGACTTTCTGTGCTGCAGGCAGCAGGACCTAGACCAAACCCCTGATGTTTCAGTAACAATACCATAAACACAAATTAACTACATTTTATTCAGACAATTGTACATCTTGAATAAGTTGCCATTTACCCAAGAAACAGCCGGGAACTCAACCGAATTCTCTTTTTCAAGGCCCCTTCTGCTCCTGACAGGAGGGGACGGGGGCAGCCTTTGGAACAGCAGGCAGGGCACAGACAGGACCCAGGACATACCATACCATACCATACACGGTCAGAACAAGGAGGGTCCTCAAAGACCAAGTGCTCCAACCCCAAACCTCACCCCATCAGCAGGAGAACTGGTCAGTGATTCCTCAGCCTCTTCTGGAATATTCTCAGGGGATTTGCCAGCTGTTGCCCACCTTCTCCCTCCATGAAGCTGCAGTCCCTACCCTGCAGCTTCTGACCATTTAACCTCTGATGGAAATCTCCTTAAGGGTGGCCTTAGGAGAGTGTTCACGGATTAGGTTCTTGTACTAGCATTCAGGAATGTACAACTAAGAATGGAATTCTGTTCCTTTGATAATGGGTCCTAACAGTATGTATTATGTGCAAATGCCCCTTTCTGTGTAGCCATGGTGATTTCCTGGTTTGCTGCACGTGGGTCTGTCTGCATTTGCGTCGGTCAGCCTGTCATTGTCCCTAGCCCTCCCACACTCTCAACTGGGTCCGTGGACCCTTCCCTGCCTACCCTTAGAATCCAGGATCAGAGGAAACCGGACCAGCTGCAAGCAAGAGGGGTTTATGGACTATCAGTTCACCCCTCTAACACTTGGCACCCTCTCTGTCATAGCTCATCCAATTCTATTACTTCACCTGGCTGTGGTCTTGTGTCTGCTCCAAACACAAGGCAGTGAGGGACTTAGCACCCGGGCCAGCAGCTGCGGAGGGGGCGCCAGGTCCCCCATCACTGCCAGCCCGCCCACGCGGCGCTCGAATTTTCGCAGGGCCTCAGCCGCCTCCCCGTGGGGCAGGGCTCCGAATCTGCAGCCCGCCACGCCGGAGCACCCCCGCAGGGGGTTCCCATGCGGCCCGAGCCTCCCCAAGGGGCGCCGCCTACTGCTCCGCGGCGCCCGGTCCCATTGACCACCCAGCGGCTCAGGAGTGCAGGCGCACGCAGTAGGAGTGCGGGCAGCTCCAGCTGCGGTCGCGGCGCAGGATCTCCTAAGGAAAGCCAGCTGGGCTCCTGAGTCAGGTGGTGACTTGAAGAACTTTCATGTCTAGCTGGAGGATTGTATATGCGCCAATCAGCACTGTGTGTCTAGCTGCGGGTTGGGGGGCGGGGGTTGGTTTGTGGATGCACCAATCAGCACTCTGTATCTAGCTAATTTGGTGGGGACTTGGACAACATTTATGTGTAGCTAGAGGATTGTAAATGCACCAATCAGCACTCTGTGTCTAGCTCAGGGATTATAAATACACCAATCAGCATTCTGTGTCTAGCTAAAGGTTTGTAAACGCACCAATCAGTGCTCTGTGTCTAGCTAATCTAGTGGGGACTCAGAGAACTTCTGTGTCTAGCTCAAGGTTCGTAAATGCACCAATCAGCAGCCTGTGAAAAATGGGCCAATCAGCAGGATGTGGGTGGGGTCAGATAAGGGAATAAAAGCAGGTGGTTCGAGCTAGCAGCCGCGATTTGTTGAAATTCTGTAGTAGGTGTGTTTGTAGTCGTGCTGTCTTTATGAGCTGCAACACTCATTTTAGAGGTCTGTAGCTTTCCTCCTGAAGACCCCTAGATCGTGAACTCACTAGAAGGGACGAGTGACTCCAGACACGTAGCTTTTAAAAGCTGTAACACCATGAAGGTTTGCAGCTGCATTCTTGTAGTCAGCATATACCACGAACCCACTAGGAGGAAAATATTTGAGACGCATCTGAACAGTTGAAGGTATAAACTCTAGACACACCATCTTTTAACAACTGTAACAGTACGAGGGTCAGTGGTTTCGTTCTAGAAGTCAGCAAAACAGAACCCACCAATTTGGGACACACCTGGACAAACGTCAGCCTACCGTGAAAACTTTTAAAGATGTAAATTACCTAACCGCGCTCCACACCTTTGGAGTCCACAGTTCGGAGGTGGATCCCAGAGCCAGCTCTCTGCATTTTAGCAAGCTCTTACGGTGGTTCTGATGCACATTGCAGCTTGAGAACCACGGTCCTACGTTGTAACTGTTACCTTCTGGCTGTACAAAGTCTACTGCTGTGTCTTCTATGCTCCCACCCTGGCTTGGTTAGAGACTATCCCTTTCGGGCAACTATGATCCATGGCAGCCTTAGGAAGCCCACGTATAAGCTGACTCCAGCTGCTGCTGTCTTCCTCCACTGTCCCTGGGCTGAGTTCCCATCATAGCATCTATAGATGCCCTCATTCCTCCCTGAGCTTTCTTTGCTCCTTGTCTTTCCTTTCAAATGTAGTAAAGTTGTCTCATGCCCTGCTGAAGACTGTTGGGGTGCAAAAAGTCGGGCCCTGGGCTTGGAGTGAGTGGCCCTGGGCCCCACCAGGTGCTGCTGTTTGAGCTATGGACAGCCAGTTAAATGACCAGCAGGTGTGAAGTATCTGACCCAGGGCTCAAAGCCTCTCCACCCATGGCTTCCTAGGACTGTGCCCAGCGTCTCTTCCCTCCTTTTGAGTATCCCTCATCTCTAAAACCAGGGTGGTACTGCTTACCTTAACACAAGCCAGATCTTAAGCAAAACAAGACTGGAGACTTTATAAACGTCAAGACTTGCCGACCAAAGTGTGGCTTATGGCCAGGCACAGTGGCTTATGCCTGTAATCCTAGCAGTTTGGGAGGCTGATCAACTGAGGTCAGGGGTTTGAGACCAGCCTGGCAACCATGGTGAAACCCCATCTGTGTTAAAAATACAAAAATTGGCCGGGCACGGTGGCTCACGCCTGTAATCCCAGCATTTTAGGAGGCTGAGGCAGGTGGATCACCTGAGGTCGGCAGTTCAAGACTAGCCTGAACAACATGGGGAAACCCTGTCTCTACTAAAAATACAAAATTAGCCGGGCATGGTGGTGCATGTACGTAATCCCAGCTACTCAGGAGGCTGAAGCAGGAGAATCGCTTGAACCCAGTAGATGGAGGTTGCAGTGAGCCAAGATCATGCCATTGCACTCCAGCCTGGGCAAGAAGAGCAAAACTGTCTCCAAAAAAAAAAAAAGTTAAAAAAAAATACAGAAATTGGCCAGGCATGGTGGTGCACACTTATAATCCCAGCTACTTGGGAGGCCGAGGAGGGAGAATCACTTGGGCCCAAGAGGCATAGGTTACAGTGAGCCATAACCACACCACTGCACCCCAGCCTGGGTGACAGAGGGAGACTCCATCTCAAAAAAAAATTACAAAACAGAGTGTGGCTTGTGGGTCAGCAGCAGTGGCATCCCCTAGGATTCTGTTAGGAATGCAGAATCTCAGGCCACACTCAGGCCCCTGAGAATCTGCATTTTAACAAGGTCCCAGGGGATGCATCTGTAAAGTCTGAGAGGCGCTGATTTAAATAACTAGAAGAATGGGAGACACTACATATGTATCTGTCTTCAAGTTCTTCCGTCACACCCCTTCCCTCTCAGTGCTTTCCCACCTCCAGAAGAAATGCTGTCCTCTCCCTTGTCTAGAGCAGTCGTTCCTAACCAGCTGGCCCATGAGAATCACCTGCACCAACACTTAGGCCAGACCCCAGGCCAGTGAAATTAGAATATCTCAGAAAGGGCCCCACATAAGGATTTTTTTTTTTTTTTTGAGATGGAGTCTTGTTGTGTTGCCCAGGCTGGAGTGCAGTGGTGCGATCTGCTCTCACTGCGACCTCCACCTCTTGGGTTCAAGTGATTCTCCTGCCTCAACCTCCTGAGTAGCTGGGACTACAGGCACACATCACCACGCCCGGCTAATTTTTGTATTTTTAGTAGAGATGGAATTTCACCATGTTGGCCATGCTGGTCTCGAACTTCTGACCTCAAGTGATCCACCCACCTCTGAAACGGAAAGAGTTCCCTTTTTCCCCTCGCAGGATGTGTGACAGGGGGAGTGCCCCACTTCTTCAGGGTCCTGCTGCTCAAACCTCTAGGGGAGCATAGAGGTGGGCAGGTTGTGGGACTCCCAGCCCATGGCAGGGTCTAGGGGTGAATGGTTATGGCTCCTGAAGCCCCAGTGGGCGTGTGCGCTTTAGTTTAGCCGTCTAGAGGCGGCTTGTGTTAACCAGCTCAATTTGACCCTCTTCTGTCGAAAGGACAGAGGGCTTTCTGTATCCGAGTTCTTGCCTTGATGTACCAGAAGAATCAGATCACACGTGGGCTTGGAGAATGGGTGCAAAGTTTTATTGAGTGGAAGTAGCTCTCAGCAGGTGGGGGAGCCAGAAGGGAGATGGTTTGCCCCTGAAGTCAAGCCGCTCGGTGGTCCTGACCGCCCCAGCCAAACTCTGCGTCATTCTGTGGGTGGAAGTCCTGCAGGTGTGCCGGCGTGCTCTCCTCGGGTCCTCTCAATGTCGAGCTGCACGAGTCTTCTTCCGCCGATGTGTTCCTCGAGACGTTCAGCCACTCGTGTGCTTGCCTGCTAGGGTCTCGGGTTTTTACAGGCACAGGGTCGGGGCATGGCAGGCCAGGATGGTCTTGGGAAATGCAACATTTGCGCATGAGGTCAGGAGTGCCTGTCCTCACCTAGGTCCATGGGCACAGGCCCAGGGGTGGAGCCCCCGCCAAGGACCTGCCCTTTTCCTCCCAGCACTTCCTTGCCCCCTTCCGTATCACCTCGGCCTCGTAAAGTGCTGGTATTACAGGCGTGAGCCACTGCGCCTGGCCCACATTCGGCTATTTTTTAATTCCCTAGATCATTCTCATGTGGGTCCAGGGTGAAAGCGCCTATAAGCCAACTCCACTATGGTTCCACTCTTCAGTTCCACCGTCTCCCAGGGAGCTCCTCGCCACACCATTTGCCTCACCTCTGCCTCTCCACACCTGTACCTCTCCACTCTCTACTCACCGCCCTCCCCACTGCATCACCAAACACCCCTCACCCCATCATCCCTGGCTTGCCTCTCCCTTTGGCTCCTAGAACAGTCCTGTGACTTTCACTTGACCAGAATTCGGAGAAAATCCTGATATGGATTTTAAACCTCACACATGGACAGAGCTCTCTCCACTGCGATGCCAAACATCCACTTCTCTGTCCTTCCAACTCTCATCCTGCCTCACTTCCTCTGCTCTCCAATTCCACAAGCAAGTGGTCCCTGCTTTCGGCCCCCATTTCTGCCACAGTATGACTCCTACTTGCTGGAAGTTAAAAGGCCTCTCCCAACACCTCTCCAAGGCAACGGCACCACAGCCTTCAGACTACCTGTGCTCAATGCCTGCGGGAGAACACTGGTAAAAGGCGGTTTACTTGAGGAGTTCACTGCTATTGGGTAAACAAAGGAGGATTTTTCAAGAAACCTCCAGTATCCATAAGACAATAGATCAAAGAGGAGCCCACATAAGCCAAGGGAGGCCCAATGAAGAAGAAAGGGTTGGCTCTGTTCCACCTGGGAAGCACCTGCCCACCAAGAACTGGGGATCTGAAGGGATCTTTTTCTGTCAGTGGCAAAGCTGGGAGTTCCTCCGGGGCCTGAAGCAGAAAGCAGACAGGACCAGGAGAACATGCATACTTCTCAAAGAAACACAGAGAACAGCCCCACGGGCTGGACCCTGTAACTGAAGAAAGGAGTCAGGAACTTTTTGCTCTAAGAGTCCTTGCTGAAACGGCGTAATGTTGTAGGGACTGTCGCGGCCCTGTGTTGTACCCTCACACATCCGCACCTATGGCGTGCTGGTGGTGTTGAATTCTAGAAGCCGACTTGAAAATAAATTGTTGCCCATCCTCCCATCATTCACTCATCAAATATGTCATCAATGCCTACTTCATGCTAAGAGTTAGAGAAACACACATCATGAGGGCTGGGCGCGGTGGCTCACGCCTGTAATCCCAGCACTTTGGGAGGCCAAGGCGGGCAGATCACAAGATCAGAAGTTCGAGATTAGCCTGGCCAATATGGTGAAACCCCATCTCTACTAAAAATACAAAAATTAGCTAGGCATGGTGGTGCATCCCTATAGTCCCAGCTACTCCGGAGGGTGAGGCAGGAGAATCGCTTGAATCCAGGAAGTGGAGGTTGCAGTGAGCCGAGATCACGTCACTGACTCCAGCCTGGGTGACACAGCAAGAGTCTGTCTCAAAAAAAAAGAAAGAAAAACACACAACACACATCATGACACAGCCCTTGACCTTGGAGAGCCCAAAGTCCAGAGAGAGCCAAACAAACAGATTATAAAGTGATGCCTGTGATTAAAAAAAAAAAAAATAGAAGAGAATGCAGGTAACCAGTGTTTTGGGAACCCAGAAGGGATCCTTCTGTGGGGCTAGGAGATAAGGCAAGGTTTACGGCCCTGAGGATGCCGAAAGCTTCAGGGATGAAAGCGGGGACTCCAGGCTTATAAAATATGATTGATCCCTTTCACCTCTTTTTTTCATCCCCAAACAGCTCACTTTACTGAAATTGACATCACAGGCCACTGTTTTTAAGGTTTGGCATCAGAATTGTGAAATGGTTGTCTAGAGACGTGCTGATCCTGCTGGACAATGAGACAGTGTCTATTTCTCCAAACCCTTTAGAAACCCGAACACTCTCACTGAAACAATGAGAAGGTCACTCTGATAGGCTAAAATGGAATTAAATGGTTGTGCTAATTTATATTTCTTAGACTACTAGTAAAACTAAACATGCTTTCAAGATAAATGACATGGAATTTGTCTTTAATTGACTCCTTTTTTGTCCCCTGCTCCAGAGCCATGTTGTTTTTTCTTTGATGTCTCTACTTTGTCCCTGTCTCTCCATCTCTGATGTCCTCCACCCAGTCCAGGCCCACATCACTGCTCCCTATTTTCCTGGCCTAAATTGTACCCCTGGCCCCAGTCCTCCAGCCTGCTCCGTGCACCTGCTTCTCCTGCTAAGACAGCCCTTCCATCAGATCACTCCCTCCTTCAGAAGCTCTGAGGCTCCTGATTGCTCAACAGACTGAGTCTTCTGCTAGCTTTCCAGGCTGTCCATAGAGGGGACTCTTCCTGCCTAACATCCAACCACCCCTTGTCTCAGCCCGGCCTCTTCCCATCCCTGCATCCCCACCCAACACTGCTCTCTCTTTAAGGCATCACACTTTGGAGCTCCTCTCTGCACCTTATCCTGGTTACAGGACAGGAAATCTACAACTTGTCCTCCTAATTTCAATGTAAGTTAGCCATTTGTGACCAAGAACCCAGAATCCTCTAGAAACATGTTAACTGCTGACAGCCTGTATCACAAAAGTAGCTTAAGCCCAGAATAGAGCTGAACCACAGTGCTGACAGTCCCTTCCCACATTCAGGGTTTGGGGAAGCATGATGCTTCCAGAAACAGCACATCACATCAAAGAGACCACAGCTCAGTAAAGTCCCTGCCCTGCCACCTACTTAGAAGGAATTTGGGAAGGTTATCTCACTCTCTAAACTTTATTTTCCTTGGTGTCCCAAGTTGGGGGTTCCAGGAGAAAGACACTGAGATGGAGTTTGGTTTGCAGGATATTTATTAGAAATCAACGTTTACAGAAAAGAGGTGGAAGAATCACAGCTGGGCAGAGGGACCAAGCCTCAGCCAACCCAATGGAAAACTCTGGGGCCTATGTGACAACCCTGAAATTGTCCCCTATTGGCCAGAATGGCCAAGGCTTTATCCCCTTGCCTGGATCAGTCATCGATGTAGACAGCCCAGGGTGTACACTGCATAGAAGAGGCCGACTGCTGGAGGCTCTGGGCTGCACACCTCCATACCCACTGCACTTGTTTATAGAAGGAGGTAATAATAACAGGACCTACCCTATGTTGTTGCAATGATGGCATAAATGAAACATTTAGCACATAGCATGTCTGGCACAGAACAGGAATTCAATAAATGCTTGCCGTTATTGTCATTGTCATCACAGGTCGAGTAGCAGCTGGAGGAAGAGTCCTCCCCTTCAGTAATTCACCGAGTGCATGCATTGAGCACTTATCATGTGTCAGGCACAGTTCAAGGATCAGGAGTGCTGCTCTGAGGTTACAGGTGTTCAGTAGGTGGCCATGACAGGCCTTGCCCAGAAAAGAAAACTTGAGCAAAGACTTGACGAGGCTAGAAACAGGAGACAGCCATGCAACCGCCCTAGAGAAGGAGCAAGCCTAGAACGTTCCAGGCCAGAGGGGCTGAACAAAGTGAGCCAGAGGGAATGGGGTGGGAGTAAAGGTCAGACAGGAAAGACTGCTTCTGGGGTGGAGGGGCAAGTGTCAAAATAAACCAAACTCAGATCTGATCAAGTCTCGCCATCAACTTAAAGGTACAGAAATACAGGGGCAGATCAACATGGTAATACAGAGCAACATGATAATACCTTGAGATTATCATCAGCACAAGTAAGGCTGTGGAAGACTCTACAGGAAAAGTGACCTAGTTTCTTCAAAAACAGCCAAAAACTGAAAAATTGCAAGAAAGAGGTAATGAAGAGGCTCCTATGGATTAAGACTTGAACAAATCAACCAATCCCACTATAAAAACCTTATTTGGATCCCAATTCCAACCAGCAAACTGTCTTACCACTATTCATCAGCATCTTATAACTGAGAAAATATAAACAATGGCTGGACTTTTAATAATAATAAAGAATTGCTACAAATTATTTTTAGGCATCATAATGAAATTGCTTTGTGGGCTTTTTTGAGCCCTTATCTTTGAGAGATAGGTACTGAAATCGTTATGGATAAAATGATAGGATGCCTGAAATTTGCTTCAGAAATAATCAAGGGGTGGGGGAAGGAGGTGGAACTGAGAGAAAGACTGTCCATATTTGGCAACTGTTGAAGCTGTGATGGGTACATAAAGATGTATTATGCTATTCCCTCTACTACACTGTTTTATGTACATTTGCAATTTCCCATAATAAAAGGTTGCAAATACACCTGCCAGTGATTCTGAAGCATTGCCTCAAACTCCTCCAGGACACTCCCTCCACAATTACTACGTTTGACTGGAATCCACCCATCCCCTACCTGGAATCTCTTGGACATCCTCAGACCCTCCAGTGATCACTGAATGGAATGCTGATTTTCTCCAGTGCTTAAAGCCAAAAGCAGGTTTTTCCAGGCCCACCTGACCTTCCACAGCTTGAGGGCATCCAGCCAACGTGCCTGACTGTGGTTGGTAAACAACCAGTGAGCTCACAATTTCTAAGGGCTAGAGAGACCCAAGAAAATCTCATGCACATATGCAACAAAAGACTGTTTATAAGAATGTTTATAGTTGCTATATTCCTAATTGCCAAAAATGGAAACAGCCAAATGTCTATCCACAACAGATGGGTAAATAAGGTATGGTATAATTATGTGATGGAATACTACACAGCCATGAAAAAGATCAAACTTCACATACATGCTGCTACAGAGATGAATTTCACAGACAAAATGTCGAGTGACAGAAGCCGGAGACAAAAGACTATATATTGTCTGATTCTATTCATACGAAGCCAAAATTGGTGTGTTAGGGGAAGGAAGGGCTACTTACCAGAAAGAGGCATGGGGGTTTCTGGGGATGCTGGAAATGTTTTATACCTTGCGGTTACTTGGAAAACATATATGTTAAATTTGGTCAACTATACACTTAAGATTTGTGTGCTCTACTGTGAGTTATATTTCAAACTTGTGGGGTTTTTTTTATTTAAGAAAAAAAATTTATTATTCCCATCACCATGAAATGGAGGCAAAAAATAAACGCAGGAAAGAAAAAAATTTTTCTAAGAGAGTCTTTTTTTAATTACTCTTTTTCTGAGACAGTATCTTGCTCTGTTGCCCAGGCTGGAGTGCAGCAGCTCAATCAGCTCACTGCAGCCTTGATTTCCCGGACTCAAGTGATCCTCCCACCTCAGCCTCCGGAGTAGCTGGGACCACAGACAGGCACCGCCGTGCACCGCTAATTTTTTTTTTTTTTTAATTTTGGTAGTGATGAGGTGTTGCCCAGCCTGGTCTCAAACTCCTGGGCTCAAGCGATCCTCCCACCTCCCAAAGTGCTGAGACTACAGGCGTGAGCCACCGCACCCTGTCATTCTAAGGGAGTCTTATGTGTTGGATAATCATATAATGTATTAGCCAAATTTGGAGAGTTCTAAGAGTAAAAACAAGTGCTATTAAGAAATACGTCAGGCTGGGCATGGTGGCTCATGCCTGCAATCTCAGCACTTTGGGATGCTGAGGTGGGAGGATTGCTTGGGCCCAGGAGTTCAAGACCAGCCTGGGCAACAAAGTAAGATCCCATCTCTTGAAAAAAAAATATTTTAAAAAAAAGTAGTATGTCAGAACAACAGGCCTAAGCCAGGCTGTGTGGCTACCCTGATTTAATTTATTGGATGTTGACTTCTGGGATCCCTTTCCTGCTTGCACCAGTACCTCTCAACCAGTCTACACAGTCCAATCTCCTCTGCAGCTTTTAAGAATCCCCTGCTTGGGAATATTGCTTTCCTTGGGAATTCTGGTTTACTTGGTGGAGAAGAGGGCCTGGTTGTCCCCCTTTTTTTTCTTATAACTCTCCAAGTAGTTCTAATGTACAGTCAGAGTAGACAACGTTGCCTCAGGCACAGGATAGTGGTAGTCCACCAAATGGCTCAGCGTGTCCCGGCAGCTGGCAAATTAAGAAATAATAATACTAAGGCTGTGTAGAGAAGATAAAGGGACAGTTTTCTTCTGTATGAGTTTCTATGTATTTGCGGGGAAACATGCCCTGTGCATGAACCTGTACTTCCATGTTCCTCTTGTATTTCAAAGTCTTGTGCCCAGTTCATGGATTCTTGTCTGTTGAGCTTTTAGCTCTGACACTTATGTTGGATGTTTTTAATTTTGGTTATTAAAATTATCTTAGTTATCCAAACAAGATGACCAACCATCCTGGCTTGCCTGGGACTGTCCTGCTTTTCACCTCAAAAGTCCCACATCCCAGGAAACCAGCGTCTCTGGCAAACGGAGATGGTTGGTCACTCGCAGTAAAACACATTATTCTGGAATAGTTCTAGTGGCCACATGATTTAAGGAAATTAGATTGTGGATCTGGAAACTGCTATGAATTCGGGAAAATCTCCAGCCCCAGCACTGCAGACCCAATTTAGATAATAACTCTCTTCCACTTTTCCAAATTCCTGTCCACTGTGTGTGGGAAGCTCAGCCTCAGGCCACACTGGCCAGTACAGCTGACAGGCCCAGGGACATTCCTGTCCTCTCCCATCTCACCTCCCTTCCTTCTGATATTGTGTGAGCACCAAGATAACTCATGCACTTCTACTTCCCACCCTGTGTGCAGCAGAGAAACATCGCCAGCGTCTCTCTGCCTGTAACAAGCCCACCTTTGCTTCCAGCTCTGAGAAAGCACGTTATCTGTGTGCTCAGCTCCTGAACCTGGGCACCCCTCTGCTTTGGTCTCTAACCTGACTTGAAGACGGCCTCTTCACCCCACCATTTCTGCTTTTTTTTTTTTTAATTCCTTTTACACACACACCACACAATTTTGTTTTAATTTGACCAATGAATTCACATCACATATTTTTTCCTCCCAAAGAAGGTTCACACTCAATCTTCTTTGCAAGCCAAATACTTTGCATATCTGAAAGCACATCCTTAGATCATGTGGAGTGTTTTTTTAAGTATTATAAAAAGGGATTTCTGGGCCGGGCACCGTGGCTCATGCCTGTAATCCCAGCACTTTGGGAGGTCAAGGCAGGCAGATCACCTGAGGTCGGGAGTTCAAGACCAGCCTGACCAACATGGAGAAACCCCATCTCTGCTAAAAATGCAAAATTAGTCGGGCGTGGTGGTGCATGCCTGTAATCCCAGCTACTCTGGAGGCTGAGGCAGGAGAATCGCTTGAACTCGGGAGGCAGAGGTTGTGGTAAGCCAAGATGACGTCATTGCACAGAGTGAAACTCCATCTCAAAAAAAAAAAAAAAAGAAGAAGAAGAAGAGATTTCTGAATTAGTTGATATCTACTGATACTTTGCTGTCAATTCTGAAAGGATTGGAAAACAGAAAATGTACAGCCGCTGTAAGCTTCACAAGTGAGCAGTGAGCCAATTAGCAGCCCCCTCCCCTTTTTAAAAATAAGAATCCGAGCTGGGCGTGGTGGCTCACATCTGTAATCCCAGCACTTTGGGAGGCCAAGGAGGGTGGATCACTTGAGGTCAGGAGTTTAAGACCAGCCTGGCAAACATGGTAAAACCCCCTCTCTACTAAAAATACAAACATTAGCCAGGCATAGTAGTGGGCGCCTGTAATCCCAGCTACTCGGGAGGCTGAGGCAGGAGAATTACTTGAACCCAGAAGGCAGAGGTTGCAGTGAGCCGAGACTGCACCACCGCACTCCAGCTCTGGGTCACAGAGCAAAGACTCCATCTCAAAAAAAAAAAAAAAGAAAGAAAAAAGAAAATCTCTTTCTTTCATCAACATACGATACCCCTTTTCCTGCAAAACCTACTGATTTTCACTCACTTAATATGTCTAAGAAATGGTACTTCACTTTATGCCCAGTAACAGACCTCAAGGGCCATTCCCATGTGACTGGGAAAGCTTCCCTCTTCCCCTTGCAGACAGATGTACATTGCTAGCTGTTATACTGATGAAGAAGACACAGTACCCAGAAAAGAATAACCAGTGACACTCCCCATAAACACTTTCATGAGGAATAGCATCAGAGAAAAAAATGCCTGCACTAGAACCAACTTTCAGAACTGCTGCTAGCCAGCTATGAGACATCTTTTGCCTCTCAAAGCTTTAGTTTCTCATCCATAAAATAAGGCATTTGCACAAAATTATCTCCACAACCTTCTTTCTACCCCAAAATGCTATGGTCTTCCTTACTGCATTATTCTTCATTCCTCCTTCATCATTTACTTCCAAAGCATAGTTCACAGGAGTCAAGTATATGATGAAAAAAAAAGATAATGAATAATTACAATCAGTACATATTAAAGATTAAACAAACCAATTTTAAAAATACAAATAGTAAATATATACATTGCAAAGAAAAAACACAAATGGCTGATAAATATATAAAAAGATGCTTAACCTCACTAGCAATCAAAAAAATTAAAATGAGATGCCGTTTTTTCTCCATTGAATTGGTAAAAATGTAAAAGAATGATAATGTCAACCGTTGGCAAGGATGTGGGGAAACAGGAGTGTGACTCAGCACAGACTCCTTAGGGACAATTTCACATTGTCCACAAGCATGTAAAAGTTTAGGTACCCTTTCATCTGAATCTATAAACCTTATACTGCAGAGTATTCATATATGTTGCACCACTCTGTGTACTTTTAAAAAATCGAATACAAACTAAAGGCCTTTCTACAGGAGAGTTTGTTGAATATGCTTCATCCAAAGATAGATTAAAGGCACTTAGCTTTCCTTTAGGAAATCTGCCCATTGGACTTTAGGATCAAAAAAAAAAAAAAAACCAGTTAAGGTTAACTCTTCTCTCAGCCAAGAACTATAATTTGCATTTGGCATCTGCCACTTCGAATGAGTAGCTTCCATCTTTCTTGCGTTGGGCACAGAGATCACATTTGAAGGTGGTTGTCTCTCTACCTTCCGTGCCATTCTTCAAAATGGTAGCGAGAAATCGGAAGGAAATCCAGCATACAGAAAGAGAAACCCTGTAACAAGGCTGTCTCTCTGAGCTGAGAGTATCTTTCAGGGCTGCAAGGCACACATGGGAGCCAGCCTGAGAAACATCCCAAACAATCGGAAAAGTCCAGGTATTTCCACTACAGGTAACTTCAGTCTGAACTTCAGTATTTCTTGAGGTCAAAAAAGGCACCATAGAAGGGGAAAAAAATTCAGACCAGCTGTAGTGTGAGGAAGCCTGGGCAGAAAACAAGCTCATCAAGACAGAGGAAGCAATTCTGTCTTCTTCAAGTTGAAGCAAGACCTGCACTCCTCAAAAGGGACACTGCCCAATAAAGAAAGCATAGGGGGTATAAGAAAACCTCACTCCTCATAAGAACATGCATTTCAAGATGGAAGATGAGGCCGGGCACGGTGGCTCATGCCTATAATCCTAGCACTTTTAGGAGGCCAAGGCAGGAGGATCACCTGAGGTCAGGAGTTCGAGACCAGCCTGGCCAACATGGTGAAACCCCTCTACTAAACCTCTACTAAAAAATACAAAAATTAGCTGGGCCTGGTGGTGCATGCCTGTAATCCCAGCTACTCAGGAGGCTAAGACAGGAGAATCACTTTAACCCAGGAGGTTGCAGTGAGCCGAGATCACATCACTGCACTCCAGCCTGGGTGACAGAGCAAGACTTCATCTCAAAAAAAAAGGAAAATAAAAGGATTCAAAGAGTTTTCGAGATGATAGACACTTCTCATACACAGTACTAATTTTTAGTTAAAAATGCGTAGCCTTCCCAAGTACATTAAAAATTAACTAAAAGAAGAAAAAGTTGGTTGGACCCACTCTTGTTTGGGAAATTTCATTACCCTGAAGTTTCTGAACATACTGTTCTCTATACCAACAAAAGAGAAGACAGTCTATCTAAAAGCAAGTACAATGTATTTTTATGGAAATAAACTAGACACAGATTCTAGGCTAAATAGCTAATCATTAAATACACACACAGAGAGTCCTGGCCATTGCCACACCAATGACTAAACGCCTTTAACAATCAACATCCTGGAGGTCTGAACATTTCCTCCAGGAGCCTAGTGTTTTTACAGCCACCATCTCATTTCTGTACACATTCTCAGAATGTTCCTAGACTATCCCCATTTTGTAAGTATAAAAAGTGAGATGCCAAAACCCACCTAACTGACTTGCCCAGGGTCATAGAGCCATTAGTCAGGGCCTTGATGTCAGGCCTGCAGAGCACACAGCAAACTACCTGTGCCTCTTGGGGGCCAGCATCACAAAAATTATATTTGAACCTTTCAACAACCATTTTGGACACGATCTTTCTCCAAACCACATTGTAATAAAGTTGTCACTTTGGTTCCAAGAATACTCTTTGATGGCGAAGAGTTGAACAAGCCTCTTCCTCTATCAAAACTGGTTCGCCCAGACATCCTAGCTCAACAGGTGGGAGGAAGGGCAAATCTGGGAACCAGGACCTGCAAACAGAGCCAACTCAAAACAGAATCCAATCATCACCCTAGCAAGTTTCCTCAACCTGGGTGTGAGATTGATTCCCATTCTGGGCATAAGTCAGAACCTTTACTCTCAGTGTAAACAGCAACCAAACAGCAAAATCCTAAGACGTTTTCTCAACATCCCTTAAAATTCATTGCTCGTTCATTCCTACAAGGCCCTTCAGGTTCCTGCCTCAGTTCTTGGCCTCAGGCATCTTGAACTAATACTAGCCAGGGAATGTTCTGTGCTCTCTCTCACCTCTGGGTCTTTGCACATTCGTGTCTCCATCCAGAAAACTGACTTCTTGGTACCCTCGTCTACACCACTCCTTACACACCCAGCTTCTCCCCATCTTAGAGGTCACTTCTTCCAGGAATCCCTCCTGGCCTCTCTCAGTTATGTGTTTCTTTATCACCCTGTATTCCTCCTATCATAGGACACAAAATGACCCTCCACATGTAATTACCTGGTAACTTGTCTGCCTCCTCTATTTAAACCATAAACTCCATGAGGGTGGGAGCTGGGTCTGTCCTCTTAGCCATTGTATCTCTAGCACCCTGCATAGCATCAGGTTGTGGATAAATGAGCAAGTGAATACATGAAATTAATAAACATCTATGGTTTACCATTACAGCAGGCCTGCTGCTGGACACAGGATAGAAAGATAAACTTATGCCCTCTGCCTTCAGACAAATTGTCATCTATCAATCCATAATGATTTCTTATCTTTATTTCACATATAGATAGACTTTTATAAAAACAGCTACCCAACATGAGCCCTGAAGCTGATTCTCACTAGAATGAGAATGTCCTTCTCTGTGCTGTCAGTGGTGTCTCTGAAATGTTTAGATCCAGACTTGGCCTTTAAACTCCTGCTTTGTGAGAATCAACAAATAGATGAGAATACTCTGTATTACAAGCAAGCATCGTGCCTGCTGGCTTTAGGCTCCCCAAAGAAATGAGATTCCAGAAGTTCATCTGTTTCAGGATTTTTTCTGTGTTTTTTTTTTTTTTTTTTTCTTGGAGAAAGGTTCTCTCTCTCTGTCACCTGGCTGAAGTGCAGTGGTGAGATCATGGCTCGCTGCAGCCTCCAACTCATAGACTCAAGCAGTCCTCCTGCCTCAGCCTCCCAAGTAGCTGAGACCACATGTGTGTGCCACCATGCCCAGCTCATTTGTTTTTTATTTTTTGCAGAGACAGGGTCTCCCTATGTTGCCCAGTCTGGTCTTAAACTCCTGGACTCAAGAGATCCTCCTGCCTCAGCCTCTCAAAGTGCTGGGATTACAGGCATGAGCTACCACTCCCGGCCTCAGAAGCTGATCTGAATAGGAATAAACGTAGAGTAAGAAGTGAGACAGAGGTTTTTGTTTTGTTTGCAGCTGTCCTTTCCACAAAAGAACTACAAAAAACACAGCACCTCCATCCCTTCTGCCTTCTAAACTAAAAAGGAACGCAGTCCACAGGCCTTTGACTTTATCTTTCTGAGCTGTTTCTAAACTAGGCTCCACCCCACCCAACCCCTTGTACCATTACCCAAGTCTGTGGTTCTCAAAGGTGGTCCAAGGACCAGCAGCATCAGCATCATCTAAGAACTTATGAGAAATGCAGATTCTCAGGCCCCACTCCGACACACTGAATCAGAAATACTGGGGTGGGGCCCGGCCATCAGTGTTTTTATCAAGGGCTCTAGGGAATTCTGATACACACTCAAATTTGAGAGCCACTGCCTAGTTCCTTATCACAGCACTTACTGCAAGCTGAGTTGTCTTGCTTATTTATTTAGATGTCTTATTTCTTGTCCTCCTTCACTGGAGGATTTCAGCTGCATGAAAGCTGGGACCTTGTCCATGTGGCTCAGGGCTCTGCACCTTCTGTGACTTAGAAAGTGGCCATCACGTAATAGGTGCACAGTAAATATTTTTCAAATAAACAAACAAATCTTCCAATGTTTGCTTGTTTTCCTCAATTTCCAAGGAGCTGGCCCTGAACAATCCCAGAAGTTAAAGCACCCTTGTGAGTCATCTGGGCAAGCAGCTGGTTATCTACTGGGTGATAAGGCTCCAAGGACAGGAGGTGAATGCTGCACAGCCTGACCCCATGTCCCCTTCGCCCAAATCCCCAAGGCTGGAGTGCCCCTTCACAATCGTGCTGAACTCACCTTTCCCTATTTCAGAGGCCTGATGTTGTTCCACCACCGAGACATCCTGGACTCATGAATGGATTCAGGATCACCAAGGAGATTTCTTGTACAGGTGAACCAACTCTTGGCTGCCCATTCCTCTGCAGAGTCCTCCCTCCCTCAGGGCACCCTCCCCTTCTCCACTAACTACCACACCCAGGGAAGCAGAAGCCAGTTGTCACTATGATGCATAAAGTCCCATCTCCAGGTTACATAGCCGAATTGTTTGAGAAGTTCTTCCCTTATTAGTCGAAAGGGCAGGAAAGGCAGATCTTGGGGGAAGAGACAAGAGAAACAGCCATTCAGAAAAAAGAAAGATCATCGCTGCTTCTCACACCAACCGGTGCTCATTTTATCTCAGGGAAACACTCATAAGCCTAAAATGTACACATCATGATGACCGTTCCTCAAAATAAGGAAACTAAGGCTTAGAGGGTAACTTTTCCAGCCAGATGTGTGGTGGCTCACACCTGTAACCCCAGCGCCTTGGGAGGCCGAGACAGGTGGATCACTAGAGGCCAGGAGTTTGAGACCAGCCTGGCCAACATATAGTAAAACCCTGTCTCTACCAAAAATACAAAAATTAGCCGGGTGTGGTGGTGGGCACCTGCAGTCCCAGCTACTCGGGAGGCTGAGGCAGGAGAATCGCTTGAAACCCGGAGGCGGAGACTGCAGTGAGCAGAGATCACGCCTCTGCACTCCAGCCTGGGCGACAGAGCGAGACTCTGTCTCAAAAAAACAGAGAATATCTTTTCCAAGATCTTACAGTGGACCATAACCCTAACTCGGCTCTGACTGCAAAGCCTTTCTTCATCTCTGGCCCCTCCCTTCCGTGGCCCTGCCAGCAGCCGTTCACCCAAACAGGGAAAGAGAGAATGCATTTTCAGGAGGGAATAAGCCAGGTGACTTGAAGAGCCAAGAGGACACCTGGCTTCTGGCGTCTCCACCCACCGCCCTGCCCTGAGGCTGCCACGCCTCTCTTCCTGGATTTGCCCTGGGCCTGCCTGGGATGGTTAATATTAACGAGCACTGAGCACCTTCAGGTTCCCAAGGCCCCTGTGGAAGGTGGGATGCTGACTCACAGCCTACGTGGCAGCCACATGTTTCCACAGCTCCCAGCAGCAGCAGCCAGCAGGCGCCTCCTATGTCCTACGGGCTAACAGGAGGAGACCCCTGATTAGGGCAAGGAAGGGGAAGTTGCTGTTTTCAATGTCTCCATTGGAGGAGGGAGGCTGGAGGGGCTGTTAGCAATGGAGGGAGAAGGAATTCTGAGCAGCTTCACAAAAAGCTTCCATGAGATGGCTTCCCACTGTCCCCTCTGCCTTTTACATCTCTAAAGGATTGATCCGCTTTTACCCAATCACACCAACTAACACGCAAGGGGAGGTTGGGATGTCGTGGCATGAAGATTTACAAAAAGCGCACTGGCACAAACGAGGAAGGGCTTAATGCTACCCTGCAGGATGCTCAGGACCTCCAAAGAGAGCGTGAGGATTCCAAAGGCCAAGTCCCCAGGTCAATCTGCCACTCACTCCACCCTCACCCTCTGTCCAAACAGCACCTGGGGCTTTCAGGTTGAAAGGTCTCTAGGTGAGGATGGGGATACTGGGCTCCCTTCTTCCTGCCCCCTGTGTGCCTCTCATCAAAACCAAATGAAAACGTGATGTACAATTACAAACACAAGAGACAGTAGGACCAACAAACTTAAATCTCATTATCCTGAATGGAAGCTTGCCCTGCTTCTCGGGGATGCCTTTGAATCTAAGAGACTGGGAGATGCTGAGACAGGCATGGGTATGTTGGCACGCGTGCAGCCATCCTCTCTACTGTGATGTTCCCAAGAGTGTTAGAAACCTCAATGAGTTCAAATAAAGCCACTCCCACCCCTGAGCAAGGGGTACTGGAGGAAGGTGAAATCGGCTCAGGGTAGTTCAGGGAGGAAGGCGAGAACCACCCCTGGGCAGAAGGGAGGATGCCAGGCACCGGCCACAGTCAATCTAGCCCTCGGCCACAGCCCTGAAATAAAGCCCTGGCTTTCGGGAGCTGGAACTCACATCGCTTCTGCGCCGCTGCAACATGCCTGGATGCTCTGCGCTGTGGGCGCTGGCTCATCGCCCCTCTGATTCACACCGTTATTAAACCAGCACTCGGGCAAGAAGCAAAATCGTCCAGGGCCCAGCACTCTGGGCAAAAACTGAAGAGCACGCAACCTCAGAATACACGGATGGGGAAACAAATGGTGTGGCTGCTCAGCCCACTTTCCGTTCCAAATGATGTCTACATGTCCCCCTGGAGCAGAGGAAAGCCACAGGTGGAGAAGCCGAGCTCTCTCTGGACTACACTGGCTTCTCCCTGGCATCACCCTTTCCCATTGCTGTGACGCCCTGACTTAAGCACCAGAACTAACCCACGGGGCCGCAGCATCCCTCGCCAGCCCATGCCCCAGCTGCAGGTGACATCACGTGGCTGACATCAGGCCTGCAGTCTGGGTTAGCTGTGCTGGGGGCCCAGAAGCTGTGGCTCCCTCGCACGACCCTGGTTTCGACAGTGGGTTAAAGTTCAGAAGCGGCCTGGTAAAAACATCCCTGGTGATAAGCTGCACCTTTCCTGGCAGATAACCCCAGCACGAGTGAAAACATTTTACAACACCTCTGAGCTGTTCTTCCAGTAGCCTCACTCATGAAGGCCTCTAACCAGCCTTTCTGTATTGATCACCAATTACAACTGCATTAACAGAATTTTAACATTTTTTTCCAAAATAAACAATGAGCTTGGCGTTTTATTTTCCAACACACTGCTTCAACATCTAGCTTATTTTTAGTGAAATAAACCACCCTTCTTCCAAGCAGTGTTTTCAGAGGTAAAGTCAAGGAGATTTTTCTGCTTTCAGGCTGCTCGTGGAATCAGGGTTTAGGATTCACCAAGCGGACCTAGGAAATGTTGATATTCAGAGTCACCCCTGAGCTCCAGTTGCTGGCATCAGGGAGACAGGCATAGGGCTCTTCCAAGGGGACTTGAACTTTGTCGTCTAGCCAAAATGTTCAACCGGACCTAGAATCTTTAAGGATCCTCTAGCATGGGCCATCAAAACATCCAAAGGGGAGACTGTTACTAGGTGTAGCTGACTTGGGGTAAGGGGGTACAGGATACAAAAATGCAACCCAAGCCTTTGTGAGCTTCCAGGGGAGTTCAAAAGACAAGAGCAAAACACAGAAAAGGTAACAGAAATACAGAGTTGTTGGACCCAAGGCCTCTCCAATATGGTCATTGTTTAGATGGAAAGCGAGCAGCTTAGATTTTTAAAAGCGGGTTGGGGGTTTGCATAGAAGACAGGGCAGGCCAGGAGCAGTGGCTGTCACTTGCAATCCTGGCACTTTGGGAGGCCAAGGTGGGAGGATCACTTGAGCCCAGGACATGGAGAGATTCCATCTCTCTAAAAGAAAAAAAATCTTTTTAATTTAAAAAATAATAAAGAAGAGTAATCATTGTGGGCTGTGGGTTTGGAAAGGGATGGTGAGACAAAGAACTTACTAAAGAGGCTTTGAATCAGAATGGAAAACAGCTGCTACTCTCCCAACTGCATCCCAGCCTCCTGACTCTCTTTCTCCACACTCCCCCTGGGCAATCTCACCCACAGCTTCAACTACTACCTCGACAGGATGACTCATAAACCTTTATCTCCAGTCTGGCCCTTTCTCCTCAATGCCAGACTCCAGTGGTCTGTGAGGTAACTTCCCTCCATCCCAACTAGAGACTCTAACTTACCGTCTTTTTTCTCTCTGCTGTGCCTGCTTTGGCTACCCTCCTATCTCCCATTGCTATGCACCTACCAAAGGGAGAGGCCCACACAGACAACCTGGGTTCATCCTAGTCTCCTCCTCCTGATGTCCCGTGTCCAAGCCCAGCCCGCCATACCCTCTAATTGACTCACAAGCCAGCCCTCCTGTCCACCCCAGGCGCATGTTGTCTTAGTCTCAAGTACTCATTATTTCTGTTGCCTTCTCTCAGGTTGCCCAGACTCTGGTCTTGGTACCCTCTGACTTTTCATAACAGGTCAGTCTTGCTAAAACAGTCTTCTACTTGGACAGACATGGTGCCTCATGCCCATAACCCTAACACTTTGGGAGGCCAAGGCAGAAGGATCTTTTAAGACCAGGAGTTCACGACCAACATAGCAAGACCCCATCTCTACCAAAAAATAAAAAACTATCTGGGCACAGTGGCATACACCTGTAGTCCCAGCTACTCAGGAGGCTCAGGCAGGAGGATTGTTTGAGCCCAGGAGTCTGAGGCTGCAGTGAGCCATGATCATGTCACTGCACTCCAGCCTGAGAAACAGAGCAAGACCCTGTCTGCAAACAACAATAACACCAAACAAACAAACAAACAAAAACAATCTTCTACTAAACCCTTCAGCGGTGAACGCACGTGAAACCCTCTCTTCAAAGGGTGGCCATAAACTGAGAGACCTGGGCTTTGCCCCAAGGCACCGAACTATAGTGTGCACAGCATTTTAAAATAACGATTTTAAAAGCTTAGCATGTACTTAGCAAGACTAATTAGTTCAAATAGGAAGCTGCCAGATGGTGCATATTATTAATGACACCCATTGGAAGGCCCCCCGAGAACGCTCTGAGTTGATGTGAAAGTGCTATTTCCTGTTGCTGCCCCTGCACCCACATAGTTCATTTGGGATCTGCAGATGAGACTTTCAAGGTCAGGCCCAGCTACCTTCCAGCCTCCAGGTACACCAAGTTCCACTCAGTTTTGATCCACTTGAGAGTATTGGAATGGACCGTGCTCTCTCCTCCCTCCATGCCTGACCATGATGTGGTCCCCTCTGATTTCCCTGGTGACCCAGTGATTCTCCATCAGGGCCAATTTTGTCTCCCAGCAATGCCTGGAGACTTTTTTCATGAACACGACCTGGAGAATGCAGGGTTGCTATCACCAGCATCTAGTGAGTAGAGGCCCGGGATGTTGCTAAACATCCTGCAGTGCACAGGGCAGCCCCCCACCGCAGAGAATTATCCAGCCCAGAATGTCAATAGTGCTGAGGTGGAGAACCCTGGTCCAGATTCAGCTTAACTCTCCCCAACCCGGCTATTCAAAAGTTTTCTTCTCCTCCGTGAAACCAAGAGCAGCAGACTTCCTGCTTCAGGTCCAAAACTCTCTTGCAGCAATGATCACATTGACATGACTGTTTTCTTCTCAGGCCCTTTCCTAAGTTCCTTGAGGGCAAGAAATGTGTCTTTTTTTTTTCTTTTTTTGAGACAGAGTCTTGCTCTGTCGCCCAGGCTGGGGTGCAGTGGTGCGATCTCGGCTCACTGCAAGCTCCGCCTCCCGGGTTCACGCCATTCTCCTGCCTCAGTCTCCCGAGCAGCTGGGACTACAGGCCCCCGCCACCACGCCCAGCTAATTTTTTGTATTTTTAGTAGAGACGGGGTTTCACCGTGTTGGCCAGGATGGTCTCAATCTCTTGACCTCATGATCCACCTGCCTCAGCCTCCCAAAGTGTTCGGATTACAGGCGTGAGCCACTGCGCCCGGCCACGTCTTCTTAATCTCTTTATGACACGGAACATAACACCTCGTAAGGTCTCAGTGACTGACATGCAAAGAAAAAAATAACTGCGTCTGTTCAAGGCCAGAAGTAATTATACAATGCACCTGAGAATAACGTCTACCCACCAAGATTCACACTCTCTTATTTACACTATCACGAGTGACAAGCAACGTATAATCACTAGTGACATTTAATATATGAAGACTGCCATGTGCTAAGTATCCCAAAGAACATAGATTTTAGACACGATTGTTTTTCACTTCAGCTTACACATTAAAACTAGCTGGTGAGTCAGTATATCAAGGTCAAAAGAGTATTTCAAATATCAACTATTGCTCTTAGCCAACTACAAAAAATACATATCCGTGCTCAGTGCATGTGCTGCCTTGAGAAAAGTGAGGAAATGGAGACAGGAACGTCAGTCAGAAGAACACGTTCTTGGGAAGACTGTATAAAAGAAAAAGCCCTCAGAACCCTAGGAGAGGCCGGATGCGGTGTCTCATGCCTGTAATCCCAGCACTTTGGGAGGCAGAGGGGAGCAGATCACCCAAAGTCAGCAGTTCGAGACCAGCCTGGCCAACATGATGAAACCCCGTCTCTACTAAAAATACAAAAATCAGCCGGGCGTGATGGCGGGTGCATGTAATCCCAGCTACTCGGGAGACTGAGGCAGGAGCATCCCTTGAACCCGGGAGGCAGAGCTTGCAGTGAGCCAAGATCACACCACTGCACTCCAGCCTGGATGACAGAGCGAGACTCTGTCTCAAAAAAAAAAAAAAAGAACCCTAGGAGGAACTACCCTCCCACTTGGCACAATTCATGTCTCCATAGCCAGTGAGTATAAGAAGAAGATGCTGAAATACAAAGTACAGGAGAGTTACCTAGAAGTTCTTGAACTTAAAAATCTTTCCTGGATGATGGCCCTAATGTGATATGGTGCAAAGTTGGTGCCTATTGACCAAAGGGGAAGTGCCTACAGTTCTGCAGGTCAAGGTCATGAACTTTCTCTCCACGGTTTCCAGTCCAAATTAGGTTGCTCCATATAATCCTGGAACACAACCTATTTTAGTCTCCTCTAGTTCCAGTTTCTTTTTTTTTTTTTTGATGTGAGACCAAGTTCCATAGTAGTAGATAAAGAGTTGCAAAAGAATCCTCAACCCTTATCTTTTAGTCCCCAAATTAGACTGGGCCTAACCTCCTTGGTAGCTTCTTAAGTACCATTATCAAAGAGACAAATAAGAAACCTCAGGCTGAAGACAGATTCACCAGTGGAGCCAAAGTTATCATCGGAAGTGGCGTTCTCTCCCATGGGAGGGCCAGGGCAGTAAAGGGTCAGGAACAGGAAGCTCCTATACAAGAGCCTTGTTCTGGCTTCACCTCTGCTAGTAGAGAAACATACAGCACCTGCTCACAGCCCATTGCAGTTGGCACAGGGCTTTCTTGTGCATCATCAGCTTTTATTTTAAGCCTCTCAGCTTCCCTTGATAAATACAACGTAGTCAGTGCCGTGTGACAGAATCACGTGGAGCCAAGCAGAGGGTCACTTCAAAAACAAGCAGAGGGTCACTTCAAAAACAATCGTTCTGACTGGGTGCGGTGGCTCATGCCTGTAATCCCAACAATTTGGGAGGCTGAGGTGGGTGGATCACCTGAGTCCAGAAGTTTGAGACCAGCCTAGGCAACACAGTAAAATCCCAACTCTGCAAAAAATTAGCTGGGGGTGGTCGTGTGCACCTGTAGTCCCAGCTACTCAGGAGGCTGAGGTAAGAGGATCCATTGAGCCCAGGAGTCTAAAGCTGCAGTGAGCCGTGATCGTGTCACTGCACTCCAGCCTGGGCAACAGAGCAAGACTCTGTCTCCATCAATCAATCTATTTTTAAAAAGTGTTCTGCTTGTCACTGGCAAGCACAACATCAGCCACGCTTTAAAAACCTCTCTAAAACAGCCACATGGAACTAAATTCTCCCTTTCTTCTACCCCAGAACTTTAGGGGAAGAGAGGAGGTGATGTACCACTGGTTCCAAAACCTAATCAGAAAGAATCTGTTCCTAGGCAGGAGAGGTGGCTCATGCTTATTAATCCTAGCACTTTGGGAGGCCGAGGCGGGCAGATGGCTTGAGCTCAGGAGTTCAAGACCAGCCTGGCTAACATCGCAAAACTCTGTCTCTACTAAAACTACAAAAAAATGAGCTGGGCGTGGTGGTGTGTGCCTGTAATCCCAGCCACTCAGGAGGCTGAGGCAGGAGAATTGCTTGAACCTGGGAGGCAGTGGTCACAGTGAGCCGAGATCACGCCACTGTACTCCAGCCTGGGTGACAGAGTAAGATTCTGTCTCAAAAAAAAAGAATCTGTTCCATTTTCAGACACTTACTGAGCACCTTTACATACCACCTTCCAGATGCCTGCACAGTTTGTTATAAGAATTTTAACTTGCATAATAAGTATATACTTATTTGATTTCAAAGCAAAGCAAAGGGTAAAAACTTAGATTAAGGAATAATTTTTCCTAATAAGTTCAACAAACATTTGGAATAAGTGAGGAAATTAACTTTGTTATTGAATATATAACTGCTATGTCACATTTGCACAGAAAGCCACAAGTCTGGTCCAAGGAATTTATTTGTTACAAGATCACTTTCAATAGAGCAGGGAGAGTTTGGTTTCTGTTTGGTCAAATATTTCTATGTATTAGAGTTCAAAGTGGGCACAGTGACTCACTCCTGTAATCCCCACATTTTGGGAGTCTGAGGCAGGAGGATCTCTTGAGCCCAGAGTTTGAGACCAGTCTGGGCAACAGAGTGAAACCCATTCTCTAAAAAAAAAAAGAAAGAAAAGAAAAGAAAAATGTATATACACAAAAATTAGCTGGGTATGGTGCTGCACGCCTATAGTCTCAGCTACTCAGGAGGCTGAGGTGGGAGGATCACTTGGGCCCAGGAAGTTGAGACTGCACTGAGCCATGACTGTGCCACTGCACTCCAGCCTGAGCAGCAACAGAGTGAGACCCTGTCTTAAAAAAAAAAAAAAAAAAAAGTTCAAAATGAATCCTAAACCTAAAGCTGTTTGGTGAGAAAACTTGAAGAAAAGAGATTTTTGTTTGGCACGTAACCTGTTATATATGGCCATTGCACATTTTACACGGTGTTCCTGTTGTTTCCCTATAGCTTTAATCGAGCAGCTGAAGGTGCCCAATAAATTACCACACATATTAAAAAGGTGCCTATCATGGTTGGTGAGAATGTAAAATGGCCCAGCCTCTGTGGAAACCAGTTTGAGGGTTTCTCAAAAAGTTAAACAGAGAATGACCACAGGACTCAGCAATTCTCCTCTGGGTGTACGCCCGGGGGAATTGAAAGCAGAGACTTGAACAGATGCTTGTACACCCGTGTTCATAGCAGCACTATTGGCAATAGCCAAAAGATGGACCCCACCCAGGTGTCCATCGGCGGGTGAGTGGATGAAGAAAATGTAGTCTATCCACACCGTGGAATATGATTCAGCCTTAACAAGGAAGGCCATTCTGACCCATGCTACAGCATGCATGCGCCTCAAAGACATTATACGCAGTGAAATAAGCCAGACACAGAAGGACAAATGTCCTTCCACTCGTACGAGGCACCTACGATCATCAAATTCCTAGAGACAGAAAATAGAATGGTGGTTGCCCGGGGCTGGAGGGAGGGAAAAATGGGAAGCAATTGTTTAATGGGGACAGAGTTTCAGTTTGGGAAGATGAAAAAGTCCTAGAGATGAATGGTGGTGATAGTAGCAGGACAACATGAATGCATTTAATGCCACTGAGTTGGAAGAATAGTTGAAATGGTAAATTTTATGTATGTTTTACTATAATAAAGGAAAAGAAAAGCAGAGCCTGCCCTGAGGATAATCCAACCCTCCAAACCCTTAATGCCTGGGGCCACCCAGGCACTGATCCTTCCTACCCAGACCTTAAAAACCGTCACCCTCATAGGCAACAGGGAGATACTCAAAGGCTTTGGAGGATGGGAATTTACCCCGGCCGGACAAGTTTAACACATTTCATAAAGGAGAAAGAAAGGGCCTGAAGAGACCTCATTTTCCAAGACTGAACTCATAACTCCAACAGTGCTGATATAAGCCAAAGTGCCTAAGTACCTAGTGTATCTCACTGGTAGGACAAAGGTGACACTTTCTTCCTACCTTTCCCAGGCCCTTCTGAAGTATGGGGACAGGAGATGGTCCCTCACCTCCAGCTGCCCATGGTTCTTACTAAAACTGTGAGGGAGAGGAAGGAGCTTATGTGCAAAAGGAAAAGTGTCAGTAGAGCACAAAGAGGAAGGGAGGAAAGGTAAATTCGTGTAAACAGCTGGGACCAACAAGCTGGTACCAGAGCACAATGACTGTGTCTGTGATTCACTAATCCAAGAAATCAGGATTAGGGCGTGGAAGGAGGAATTCGTGTTTCTGGAAGTCCGTCCACAAAATTGTAGCCTCTTGTCTTGAAGCGGCATTGCACACTGTAGCTGGAAAAAAAATTATATCAGCTCCAGAAGTACTAGCAACATGCAGGGAAGCACAGAGCAGGAGATTTAGGGTAAACAGCACAAGGAGCTTCTCCCAAGGAATACCTATTGTACTGCACTTTCAGCTTCACTACTTAATTGTCAAACATTTCCACCTGCTTTATAGCACTTCTCAATAACACTTCATGATGCAAGAAATGTATGCACTTAATTAAAATAGATTTCATCCAGGTGTGGTAGCTCATGGCTGTAATCCCAACACTTTGGGAGGCCAAGGCAGGAGGATCACTTGAGCCCAGGAGTTTGAGACCAGCCTGGGCAACATAGTGACAATTGCTGCCCTGACCCCCGGCACACGCCCCGCACCACTTCCAGTCTCTACAAAAAAATTTGTTTTCGATTTTTTAAAAAGAAAACAGATTTTTACATGCTACCTGACAGTATTTTGTTACCCCTTTAACAAAACATAACAATTTTTAAAAGAAGTTGCACAAAGGAAGTATTCTGCAAGCTTTAAATTGCTATGTAACTTGTAATTGTTAGCTAACTTGTTTATCAGTCTGCTAGGGCTGCCAGAACAGAAGACCACAGGCTGGGTGACTTAAACAGCAGAAATTTATTTTGTCACAATTTGGAGGCTAGAGGTCCAAGACCAAGGTGCCAGCAGGGCTGGTTCCTGGTGAGGCCTCTCTTCCTGGCCTGCAGACAGCTGTCTTCTCACCGCATCTTCACGTGGCCTTTCCCCTGTGATTGCGCCCAGAGAGATCACTGGTGTCTTCCTCTTCTTATAAAGACACCAATTCTGTCCGATTAGGGCCCCATCCTTCTTATCTCATTTAATCATAATTATCTTTTTTAAAGCCCGTCTCCAAATATAGTCACACTGGGGGCTGGAGCTTCTGCATAGGAACTTTGGGGAAATCCAGTCCAATCCATAACAACTTGCTGCACTATTTACCTTGCAGTTTATAGTTTTCAAAGCACTCTCATATTTCATTTATTATCCTTGCAACACATCTGGAGATAGACAAGCACGTGTTGCCCCATTATACAGAGGAGGAATCCAAGGGCCAGGGGATTCCACAACTCACCAGGGATACGAAACTGTTAAGTAGCAGAGCAAGAAATCAAATCCAGGTCTGTGGGACTCCAAGATCCTTCACAAAAATAAAAAAGTCACTGGTTCCAGTAGAATCATATACAATGTACTTAGTACTTGCGTGACACTTCACCAGGGGGAGTACAAAAGTGGGAGACCCCACTGGAAGGAAAAGCAGGTGGCCTTGGGAGTCAGAAACACAAGCACCTGTGCCCATGCGTACACAATGCCAAACTTCCCTGCCTTCTTGCCTTCTCTCATATACAGCTTCCCTTCTGTACAGAAGTTAGGTGACCTCTGCTCCCCCAAGGCCTCATAGCCCACAATGAGTTGCCCTCTTCCGAGATGTGTCTACCACTTGCTTGAAAACAAATCCCTTTCTGCCTAGAGAGTGGTTCAGTTTCATGGATCTCAGCCATCCCTGCTCGCACCTAAGTCTGATTCTGTTCTGCACTTTCTCTGCTTGCCACAATAGTTCCAGATTTTCTGTTTGTTTGGGGTTTTTTGTTTTGTTTTGAGATGGAGTCTTGCTCTGTCGCCCAGGCTGGAATGCAGTGGCGCGATCTCAGCTCACTGCAGCCTCAACCTCCTGGGCTCAAGCGATCCTCCTGCCTCAGCTTCCCAAGTAGCTGGGACTACAGGTGCCCACCACCATGCCTCACTCATTTTTTGTATTTTTTGTAGAGGCAGAGTTTCACCATGTTGCCCAGGTTGGTCTCAAACCCCTGGGCTCAAGTGATCCGTCCGCCTTGGCCTCCCAAAGTGCTGGAATTACTGGCATAAGCCACCATGCCCAGCCCAGATTTGTTTTTAAAAGTCTTCCCCAGAAAATAGAAAATTAAAAAAAAAAATTAGAAAAGACAAAACGAGAAAGAAAAAATATAAAATAAAATAATAAAAATGTAACAAATAAGTCTTCCCCAAACCTTACATATCTGCGGAGAAGAAATCATTTTATTGATAACAGCCTAAATCTTGGTGAGATTGCAACATCCTTCTCCCAAGGCTGAAAAAACATGAAGCAAAGAGCTACGAATCTCTGCAGTCTGAAAGCCAGAAGGCCACGTCTCCCTCGCCCAGGGCATGCGTTCCTGCGCAAGAAGAATGGAAAGCGTTCCTTGTTTTTGTTTTGGCTTTCTTCTAGGAGATTTTCCAAAATAAAGAGATCCTGCAAGCTGGCACTTCCTGAGTATGGGGAGATGGAGTAAACGCCCCTCCCATAGTGCAGTACTGTGTATTACATACGTTCTAGGAACACAGTGCCCAAAGCAGTAGTGATTCGACAGTGTGTTAAATTCCAGACATGAACACATGAGTTATTGGACTCTGCGGAGGCGAGCCCTGACCCCTTCTCAATCCAGCCTAGTCCAAACCCTGATGATCTGACAAATAGATATGCAGCTGGTGGATACTACGGACAGGCATACTCTACACAAGCTGTACTATTTAAACAGTTACCTCCTTTGGGTTAATAAATGTACTTCGAGATGACAATATCATTGTTTCAATGGGTGAACTAAATGCAAGAGGGTCTTCTAATTAAAATGGGCTGTGTTTTTCAAAGTTGTCTTTAAGTTTCAGGTTAACTATCCTAGTTTGTGCAGAATTGGAGGGGTTTTCTCAGGATGCAGAACTTCAGGTGGTAAAACTGGCAGAGTCCCAGGCAAATGGGGACAGTTAGTCACCCAGTTCCATGATGGGGAACTTGTCAGGCATTGTGGAGTGCATGGCCTTTGGGGGCGGGGGCTTTTTCTTGGTTAAGTCACGTCATTTTTCTGCACTTCTTTTCTGCATGTGTCCTAAAGCAGGGATACTATCACTAGCCTCAGAGCTCCCCTGTGAGGGTTAAGGGATTCCCTTTGTGTGAGTGGGCACAGCCAGTACTTTGCCACATCAGGAGGGGTAATGGGCAGGTGTGATGAGCCAAGGTGTGGCTGGCCAATTCCGGTGCTCACACCTTGGCCCTGTGTAGAGTTGCACTTTGAAGAGGTATCCATGCCAGGAAGGGTTGTGCCATGAGTCATGAGGGCAAAGCTGAAGTCAGGGTCTGGAACACCAGGTTGGGCTCAGGGACATGAACAAGTTTCAATATAGAAGCAGGAGACTGGGGTCAGTGCTGAAGATGCTAAGCAAGAGGATGGGCCGGGCATGGAGGGTATGCAGGCTGGGGCAGGCAGAGAGAGGCGAGCCGGGTGGTAGGCATGGGAGGCCTGTGTTCAGAGCAGCAGGAAGTCAGAGCTCAGAGACCCAAACTGCCTAGAGGGTACCATCCAGGAGCCATTTCAGCCATGGGAACATAGCTGAGAAACTCACAATATGAAGGGAAGAAAAGGCCTCGGAGGAGCCCAAACCCACATTGCAGTCCCCATACAAGACCCCCTCTTAGACCATGACTCAGATCATGATTCTAAGACGTTTTGTGATCTGTCTTCCATTGCAACGCAGACGCCAAATATTAGCACAAGAAGTGCCATCACAGTCACTCTGAGAAGAAAGGTGTATTAACCATCGGTCAATGGAGAAAACAAATACAAAAGAAAGAACAGATCCGTCTGGGGCCATTTACCATAGACCTATTTACCTAGACCTCGAGGGTCCAAGATCAGAGCCAGACAGACCGTTCCGCTCTCATTGATCCATCCTCCAAGTTTTCAGGATGGCTTATGCCTTATAGATGTTCAAGATCCCTCCCTCACTCACCCACACACCCACTCATCCTGGGAGAATAGGTGAATGAACTGTGGTGCATTCATACAATGAACTACTCAGCAGCAAAAAGGAACAAACCATTACTAAGCAGAACCATCTCAAAAACGTTGTGATGTAGGGGGAAGGGGCAGATGTAAAAGAATTTATACTGTATAATTCCATTAGCATGAAATTCTAGAACAGGCAACACTAACTTGTGATGGCAGAAAGTAGAAAGTGAGCCATTCTGGAGGGCATGAAGGATTTGACTGGAAAGGTAACACACAAGGAATTTCTAAAATGGCAGAAGCAGCTGAGCATGGCGGTGCACACCGGTAGTCTCAACCCCTTGGGAGGCTAAGGTGGGAGGATCCCTTGAGGTCAAGAGCTGGAGATTGTAGGGAGCTATGATCCCACCACTGCATTCCAACCTGGGTGACAGAGCAAGACCCTGTCTCAAAATAAAATAAAATGACAGAAGCATTCTGTCTTGCTTGTGGTGGTTACACAGGTGCATGCCAATTTGCAAAACATATCAAACTAAACACGAGGTCTGTATATTTTATTGTCTATGGTATTTAGTTTTTTTGGTTTTTTGAGATGGAGTCTCACTCTGTCACCCAGGCTGGAGTGCAGTGGCGTGATCTCAGATCGCTGCAATTTTCACGTCCCGGGTTCAAGTGATTCTCCTGCCTCAGCCTCCTGACTTGCTGGTACCATAGGCACGCACCACCACGTCCAGCTTTTTTTTTTTTTTTTGTACTTTTAGTAGAGGTGGAGTTTCACTGTCTTGGTCAGGCTGATCTCGAACTCCTGGTCTCAAGTGATCCACCAGCCTCAGCCTCCCAAAGTGCTGAGATTATAGGCATGAGCCACTGTGCTCAACCATTTTATTGTCTATTAATTACACACCATTTAAAAACAGTTTAGCTGTCTGGGCACAGTGGCTCATGCCTATAATCCCAGCAGTTTGGAAGGCCCAGGTGGGCTAATCACTTGAGCACAAGAGTCTGAGATCAGGCTGGGCAACATGGCGAAACCCTGTCTCTACAAATAATACAAAAATTAGCCAGGTGTGGTGGTGCACATCTGTAGTCCCAGCAACTCGGGAGGCTGAGGGTGGGAGGATCGCTTGAGCCAGGGAGGCAAGGTTGCAGTGAGCCAAGATTACACTGTTAACACTCCAGCCTGGGATACAGAGCCAGATCCTATCTCAAAAATATATATATATTTATATATTTTATATATATAATATTATTATTTATATATATAATAAAATATATTTTTTTGAAATAGGGTCTGGCTCTGTATATATATACATACACACATATATGTATATATATATACACGCACATATATGTGTATATATATACACACACATATATATAACATTTTGAAATGCATCTACTGACAGCATTTTTTTCTGATTTAAAAGTACTGCATGTGTCAATTATCTGTTTGAAAATTCAAACATCAAAATAACTTTTAAGAACTCTATAGTCATTCCAAATGTTACACACACACATCATTCACCCCTCTGTGTGCCTGGCATCGTGCTAGTCACTGGGAATACAAACGTCAAGAACCATGATCCAACTGCGGACAGATAGACCCTTGACCCAATGCTTACAGGATAGTGTGACAAGCAATGAGGGCAATGAGTAAGAAGAGGTCGGGAGGTGGGTGGGTGGGAGTCTGGGAAAATGTCCAGGCACTGACAATGTTGGAGCTGAGCCTTGGAGAATGCATATATAACTAAGCGGATGGGGCATGGCAACATGACGGATTCCAGGCTGAAACAGCACACGCGCAGAGAGGCTTCAAGGGTACTTGTATTGGGAAACGTTGATGCGCCCAGTACAGTCGGGAAACAAAAGGAGATGAAGCTGAGAAGGCAGAATGTGGCCAGATGGCGTTTGGACTTTGTCCTGTGGCAAACAGGGAGCCCATGGAGATTTTATAGAGGTTTTGAGCAAGACAGTGAATGGTCAGGATTGTCTTATCAATGGCTCACTCTGCAGTGGGGTGGAGCATGGCCTGGAAGAAGAGACTGTAGGGCAAAGAGACCAGTTCCACAGCCGTAGAAGCCAAAAGACATGGCCAAGGGACACACAAAGGCAGTAGTCTAAGGGATCCGGCTTTTCCAGGAAAACAAAAAGAAGAAGAAGTCCATAGGATTCAGTGAGATTTGGTGATGTTGAAAATAAGAGACAGGAAAGAGCTAAGACAACTTTAAGACACTCGGCTGAGGCATTTGGCCCAGAGGTCATCCTTTAACCGAGATCACAGCCAAGTTGCCAGAGAGGGGACAATGTGCCTGAGGTGCCTGCAAAACTTCCAGGAACATTTGTCCAGTTGGTTTCCAGAAATAAATGTCTGGAGTTCAGAATAGAGTTCTGGACTAGACATCCTTCCAAGCGCAAAGGAGTCCAGGCAGAACACAAACTATTGCATGTAGGGGGTGTGAATCTGGGCTAATTCAACATTGCTAAGACATTCAGAAGTCTGAAGCATACCTCTCTGTCCATAGGCATCCTTAGTGAGGAGAGCGTGGGCTCAGGAACCAGGAGAACTGGGTCCCAATTCCAGAATTCTTACTCCACACCTTATATACTCCAGTATGGTGAGGGCAAGCAGAGTTGGGGGGAAAGGAAGGATAGCTGGAGAGAAAGAGGTGTAGGCCAGGAGCAGGGTGAAGCTAGCACCTACAGGAATTCCTTCCAACCTCCTTCTTGCCCCTATAGTCATCTTCCTCCTGCTCAGGAAACACCCCTCATCATGTAGCAGAGCTGCTCAGCCTGGCTCTTGAGGTCTGGGAGGTTGAATACAGTCAGCACCACCATAGAAAGAGCCACGGGCATTTGGTAAGTGCAAACGTCAGTGGTTTGGTTAGCGCTGCATCATTTCTGGGGCTCACTGTACAATAAAAATGCAAAGCCTCCTCCAAAAAAAAAAAAAAAGGTGGCCAGGGACACGGTGGCTCACATTGTAATTCCAGCACTTTAGGAGGCTGAAGCGGGCAGATCGCTTGAGCCCAGGAGTTTGAGACCAGCCTGGGCAACATGATGAAACCCCGTCTCAACAACAACGAAAAAGAATTTCAAGACTGTGATAGTACAGCCTTAAACCAAACACCGAGATGTTCTAAGTGCAGGAACCAGGGCATTGCCCATGAAGCTGGCCCTGCCTTTCAGCTCTGAGGCCCAGGGTCATGTAGCCATTTAGAGCCTGGACTTAGGAATCAGGCAGAGCTGGATTTGAATTTCGCTTCTGTCACTTGCCAGGTTTGTGAGCTCAGACAGTTTCATTTCTCCAGGCTTTAAAGTGCTCCCCTGTAAAGTGAAGCTAACAGTACTTGTTTCGTGATGTTCTAGGGAGAATTAAATGATAAGCATGTGTATACAATGAACCTGACTCATATAGTAGGAGCTCAATAGCTGGTAGGATTTTGCATCCACTGCTCAGCTCCATCTGCTCTCAGAAGCAATAGTGATCTCCACTGCAGGGAAGCAACAGCTCCTTAGAAGACAGTCAGTGGTAATCCTGGCTTGTCTTGGTGAAAAACATTTTCAGACTAGGCACTCATAAAATGACATGCTTTGGACACTTTTTGTAAATATAGCAGCAAAACAGGAAACAAGGCAATGTTAAAGGAAGCCTCTCTCCCCCAGGAATGAACTTGCTTTCATCATGTTGCATTGCCCACATGGTACTGGGAGGCACATGTATGTGGTGCTATAAATAACATGTTCTACCAGGAAACCTTGGCTGGTGCAGAAATGAGTGGTCCATTTACTGAAAGGGATTAGATAGATGTTGTACATCGAAAACTTGTTGATTTCATCCCTAGGATGCTTATTGAATCCCTGTGCAACTTAGGCCATTGTGATGAAAGGATTGAAGAAACCTTGTGTGCTTTAGTTAACTGGCAGATAAATACAGATCTTAAATGTATTTTCCTAAAAGTCTTGATTGATAAGCTGTAAGAGTTTATCCAAAGCATGTTAGGACTCCTGTGGCAGGCCAGTGGGGAAGCTAAACATGTTGGGATACGCCAAGGAAGGGTCAAAATCAATTGAACTGCAGTACTAGCACAAGCAAGGAAGATGACCAGAACTACAATATGCAGGGTCCTAAGAGAGGCAGCCTGGTTTGTCCTCAGTCCATAGAAATATTCAAGATGTGTACGGTGCAAGAGTCAACTCAAGGTGCTTCTGTTAATCTCTAGAGTCAAAAGTTCTGTGTATACACATAGCTAATTTATGAGGCTCAAGTCAATCCAAAAACCAGTTGTCACAAAGGCCAGTTTATGAGATGAACATTTAACTGGTTTCCCAGTCCTCTGATGAGATAAACCAACCTAACCTCCTAAATATCATAATTTCATTAATAAAATGAAATGTGGAATCTTTAATAGACAATATCTTTATCCTAGGAGTCACTCTATTGTCTCTCATCTCTGGGAAGTTATTAGGACAAATATTTTAGGCAGTTGGAAACTTTGAGGCCCTTCAAATGACACTGCAAAGGCATCAACCTGGCTTATGTGTGCAAAAACCAAGCCTGGGCAGATAGATCCATAGTGGATATATGCCTTGCATTTTCAATATCCTTCCACGTTAGGGCACTTCCAAATCTATGAGCCCCACTTTCCCAAGGTGGAAGCCAGCCTCCTTCCTCTGCAACTACGGCAAAAACATGCGTTTTAACCTCAACCAATCAGATACACCTGCATGCCTTATTTTTCCAGTTGTGTTACAAAAAGTTCCAAACAGGAATAATATAGAGAGAGAAATGTGGAGACGATGGAGGCAGGGGCACAGTTTGTTAATCTCTCTGAATTCCCACAAACAAACGAAACAGATAAAGCAACTAGAAAGCAAAACCAAGTTACCATGGACAATTACAACAAAATTAGGTCACAACATTTTCCCCACAGACCCCAAAATACAAGCTCATGAGGATACAGCACCAGTAGTCACATAAGCTGCATCGTCTCTGTGGGAGGAAGCAGAGCAACACAAAAGGGTGTTCCAGTGGGTCTGAAAATTGGAGAACCTGAAAGTAGCCATGGTATTTAACAGAGAGCTCAGTGAGGCCATCTGCGAACAGCAGCTGAACTGGAAGGGCTTTCGCCGAGTAGGTGAGTATAAGAGGCTTTCAGTAAGGATCAATGGGTCTGCAGAAATCCAGCTCCTGTGAATTCTAGAAACCAGCAAGTCAGGCTCCCTTTCAGAACAGAACCCCCCCACTGAGACACTTCTGGGAGTGGAATTTTTTTTAAAAAGGTAGGCAGGGACAGAGGAAAGAGTCCAGTTAAAAGTGAGAAAGAAGAGAGTCAGGAAATCTTGAGAAACGAAACTAACATATTTTTAATTGCTGCATGAAAATAGCCGAAAGGCCGGGCGCGGTGGCCCATGCCTGTAATCCCAGCACTTTGGGAGGCCAAGGAGGGCAGATCACAAGGTTGGGAGTTCAAAACCAGCCTGGCCAACACGGCAAAACACTGTCTCTACTAAAAATACAAAAATTAGTCGGGCGCAGTGGTGGATGCCTGTAATCTCAGCTACTCGGGAGGCTGAGGCAGGAGAATTGCCTGAACCCGGAGGTGAGGTTGAAGTGAGCCGAGATCGTGCCACTGTACTCCAGCCTGGGCAACAAAGCGAGACTCCTCAGGAAAAAAAAAAAAAAAAGAAAAGAGCCAAAGATAAAATTTCTTTTAATTAATTTTTTTTCTCTAGAGACTGGGTCTCACTGTGTCACCCAGGCTAGAGTGAAGTGGTACAATTATAGCTCATTGCAACCTCAGACTCCTGGGCTCAAGAGATCCTCTCATATCGGCCTCCCAGAGTGCTGGGATTGCAGGCATGAGCCACTGCTCCCAGTCTAATTTGTTTTTTTTAATTGAGGCAGAGTCTCACTGCATTGCCCAGGCTGGTCTTGAACTCCTGGGCCTTAATCCTTCCACCTTAGCCTCCAGAGTACCTGGGATTACAGGTGCCTGCCACCATGCTCGGCAGGAGATAAAATTAGAAAGAGTACTCTTAACCATGCCTCCTTCTAAAAGGTCAAGAGACTTAATTTTATTTATTTATTTATTTATTTTCTTTTTTTTTTTTCTTTGAGACAGAGTCCCACTCTGTTGCCCAGGCTGGAGTGCAGTGGCACAATCTCAGCTCACTGCAACCTCCACCTCCCAGGTTCAAGCGATTCTCCTGCCTCAGCCTCCCGAGTAGCTGGGATTACAGGTGCCCGCCACCTCACCCGGCTAATATTTGTATTTTTAGTAGAGTTGGGTTTCACCATGTTGGCCAGTCTGGCCTCGAACTCCTGGCCTCCCAAAATGCTGGGATTACAGGCGTGAGCCACCGAACCTAGCCTTAATTTTAAAAGTAAGCAGAAAAAAAAGATCAAATCCCATCCGAAGTTATTATAAGAAAAAAAAGAATAAGAAGCTGAAAAACATCTATATAGATAATGAAAATCTACTAAAAGACATGCCCAAAGAAAATATCAAAAATATCACTTTCTAGTTGAAAAAAAAAACTGAAATACATTTTTAAAGGCTATAAGACATAAAAGAACAACATAAATTAAAACTAGGAAAAACTTAGAAATGAGGTGATACAACTCGGTAAGTTAATTGTATATCAAAGATAACATCATTTCAAAAATGAAGAAAAACTAGAATGAATAAATACAGTCAATAATGCCTTAAAGGAAATAGGAAATAAAAAGACATTTTAAAAATCAAAATAAGGCTGAGTGCAGTGGCTCATGCCTGTAATCCCAGCATTTGGGGAGACCAAAATGAGAGGATCACTGCAGTCCAGGGGTTTGAGACCAGCCTGGGCAACATGGGGAAACCCCATCTCTACAAAATAATTTAAAAATTAGCCAGACATGGTAGCATGTGCCTGTGGTCCCAACTGCATGAGGAGGCTAGGGCAGGAGGATCACTTGAGCCCAGGAGGTTGGCTGCAATGAGACGTGTTCATGCCACTGCACTCCAGCCTGGGTGACAGAGCAAGCCCTATCTCACACAAACACACACACACACACAAAGTCAAAGATAAAGAAAAATAAATAGGATATGAGGCCAGGCGTGGTGGCTCACGCCTGTAATCCCAGCACTTTGGGAGGCCGAGGTGGGCAGATCACCTGAGGTTGGGAGTTCGAGACCAGCCTAACCAACGTGGAGAAACCCCGTCTCTACTAAAAATACAAAAATTAGCCAGGTGTGGTGGCACACGCCTGTAGTCCCAGTTACTTGGGAAGCTGAAGCAGGAGAATCGCTTGAACCCAGGAGGTGGAGGCTGCAGTGAGCCAAGATCACACCACTACACTCCTGCCTGGGTGACAAAGTGAGACTCCGTCTCAAAAAATAAAATAAATAAATAAATAAATAAATAAATAAATAAATAAATAAATAAAGGGGACAGAGTACAGCATGCAGTGACTACATGCTCAGGCAAAATTGATGTAGTATGACTATGGGGAAAATAGGGAGACCACGTGAAGAAATAATATTTAACTGCTCACAGTAATTCTACTCATGGTGGTAGCATTCATATTGGTAGTCTGAGACTATTGTGTGCTCACTACAAGATAAAGTAAATGAGTAATTAACTATAGGATGTTCTAATTATATAATCTCCTGTATATATATAATTTTTTTTTTTTGAGACAAAGTCTTGCTCTGTCACCCAGGCTGGAGTGCAGTGGCTCAGTCTTGGCTTACTGCAACCTCTGCCTTGTGGGTTCAAGCAATCCTCCTGCCTCAGCCTCCCAAGTAGCTGGGATACAAGCATGCACCATGCCCAGCTAATTTTTATATCTTTGGTAGAGACAGGGTTTCACCATTTTTACCAGGCTGGTCTCAAATGCCTGACCTCATTCAGTGATCTGCCTTCCTTGGCCTCCCAAAGTGCTGAGGTTACAGCGGTGATCCACTGCCCCCAGCCCCCATGTATTTTTGAGGACCAAGATTTTCAGTACAAAAGAAAAGATGCATAGATTTAACACAGAAAAGGCAAAAGTTAAACACCTAATCTAGATCTGAATTGGAAATACCAGTATAAATGCATGTGTTGTTTAATCTTTTACCTTAAAATAGATATAATTGTGTATATATGCACACATATACACATGTACGTATACACATATACAGATCCATCAGCCTGAAACTTCTTGTCATACCAGATAGTGAGGAAACCATTAAAGACCACCAAGAGCTGGGTGCAGTGGCTAATGCCTGTAATCCCAGCAGTGTGGGAGGCCCAGGCAAGAGGATTGCTTCAGCCCAGGAGTTCAACATCAGCTTGAGCAACATGGTAAGACACCATCTCTACAAAAAAATTAAAAATTAGGTGGGCAGATCACCTGAGGTCAGGAGTTCGAGACCAACCTGGTCAACAAGCTGAAACTCCATCTCTGCTAAAAAATGCAAAAATTAGCTGGAAATGGTGGTGTGCTCATGTAGTCCCAGCTACTGGAGAGGCTGAGGCATGAGAATTGCTTGAACCTGGGAGGCAGAGGTTGCAGTGAGCAGAGATCGCACCACTGTACTCCAGCCAGGGCGACAGAGTGAGACCCTGTCTCAAAACAAACAAAAAAATTAGCTGGGCATGGTGACACACGCCTGTAGTCCCAGCTACTTGGGAGGCTGAGGTGGGAAGATCCCTTGAGATCAGGAGGTCAAGGATGCAGTAAGCTCTGACCATGCCACTGCACTCCAACCTGGGGACAGAGCAAGACCCTGTCTCTAAAAAATATTTTTTAAATAAAAATAATTCTTAAAAATAAAGACCACAGGCCAAGCACGGTGGCTCACGCGTGTAATCCCAGCACTTTGGGAAGCTGAGGCAAGCAGACCATGAGGTCAAGAGATCAAGACCATCCTGGCTGAGATGGTGAAACCCCATCTCTACTAAAAATACAAAAAATTAGCTGGGCGTGGTGGCACGGGCCTGTAGTCCCAGCTACTTGGGAGGCTGAGGCAAGAGGATCACTTGAACCCAGAGGCAGAGGTTGCAGTGAGCCAAAATCGCGCCACTTTACTCCAGCCTGGCAACAGAGTGAGACTCCATCTCAAAAAACAAACAAACAAAAAATAAAGACCACAAAAGTCATGTCAAAAGAACTCAAGAACCAAATTAAAGTGGTTTCCACTAGAAAAAGATAGAACAATTTGAGCCTCAAAAATGAACTACAACTGGGGCTGGGCACGGTGGCTCACACCTGTAATTCCAGCACTTTGGGAGGCGAAGGCAGGTGGATCACTTGAGGTCAGGAGTTCGAGACCAGCCTGGCCAACATGGCAAAACGCTGTCTCTACTAAAAATATAAGAAAAGTAGCCGGGCATGGTGGTGCTTGCCTGTAATCCCAGCTACTTGGGAGGCCGAGGCAGGAGAATCACTTGAACCTAGGAGGAGGAAGTTGTAGTGAGCCGAGATCATGCCACTATACTCCAGCCTGGGTGACAGAGCAAGACTCTTGTCTCAAAAAAAGAAAAAAAAAAAAAAAAAAGGAAAGAAAGAAAGAAAAAAGAACTACAATTGACTGAAGCTCAAATATGTTTTAATGCATGAAGTCATATTGATTTTCTTTTTTAAAAAAATGAATTGGCCACCTTTAAAGGATGATAGGGTGCTAGAGAACCAATTTTCATGAATTTAAGAACTAATAAAGGGAAAGAACCAAACATTTATCTTGCCTTTCTATTATAGCCTGACCAACCTGTAATTAAAAATAGCTAAGGGGAAGAGTGTCCTTATTAAACTATTCCAATTTCCAAAAAAAAAAAAATTTAAATAGGCTGGGCACAGTGGCTCATGCCTGTAATCTCAGCACTTTGGAAGGCTGAGGCAGAAGGATTGCTTGAGCTCAGGAGTTTGAGACCAACCTGAGCCACATAGCAAGACCTCATCTCTACTAAAAAAAAAATTTTAATTAGCCAGGCATGGTGGCACTCACCTGTAGTTTCAGCTACTCAGAAGGCTGAGGTGGAAAGATCTCTTGAGCCCAAAATATTGAGGCTACAGTAAGCTATGATTGCACCACTGTGCTCTAGCATGGGTGACAGCAAGACCCTGTCTCTAAAAAAAATAAAATAAAATAAAATAAAAAGGTTTTGTTTTAAAAGAAATGGCACAATTACAATATCACCATTTTGTAACTTCCAAGGAATTAATGGGTCTAGGCAATGATTATCCATAGCTGCTATCATCAAAAAAATAAAGTCCACCAGATATTAGTGCCTTCTGATAAAAGAATGTCACAGGTGATGCTGCGTATGTCATAATGGATCACATTATGACACATGCTATATCAAATTTTCTCATTTTGGAGATGCTAAATTTGATCACTTGGTTAAGGTGGTGAATGCATGTGATTTTGACCTGGAGAAGATTATTTTTAAAAATAAAAGAGCCGGGCGCAGTGGCTCACGCCTGTAATCCCAGCACTTTGGGAGGCCGAGGCGGGCAGATCACAAGGTCAGGAGATTGAGACCATCCTGGCTAACACGGTAAAACCCCGTCTCTACTAAAAATTAAAAAAAATCAGCCGGGTGTGGTGGCACACACCTGTAGTCCCAGCTACTCAGGAGGGCGAGATAGGAGAATCACTTGAACCCGGGAGGCGGAGGTTGCAGTGAGGCGAGATTGTGCCAAGGCACTCCAGCTCGGGCGACAGAGCGAGAGTCAATCTCAAAAAAAATAATAAAAAAAATAATAAAAGAGATGTTTTTTCAAAAACAGAGGAAGTCACCCAGGATCCATTCTGGCAAGGTGGCAGAGCACAAGGAAGGGAGATGTCTACCTTTCAAGGGTAACTTGGCAGAGGTTCTCACAGCAATGCCTCACACCCAGTGTTGGCAGCAGTCAGTATTCTACTGGAACAATCTGGCAATGTGATCAATGTAGTTCAGCTATTGTTTTTAAGAACAAAGCTCTCCTGGAAATTTTCTGAGCTACTTAGTTGCTATTACTAGATTTTTTTTTTTCCTAGCATGGATTCTGTTGTTTGTAACTAAAAGACCTGACTGATACAGGATCCAAAAGATTGACAACTGTGTGTGTGTGTCTGTGTGTGTGTGTGTGTGTGTGTGTGCCCTCACATTCAAATTAATGAGTCTCCAAAATGCTATTGATTTCTCCAAATGCATTTTAAAAACCTAGGTTGAATGACAAGAAGTTATTTAACTTGATTGATGATTGCCTCAGAAAGCCTTGAGGAAGATAAACAGAAGCTTGGCTGTCCTGGAACTCTGTATTTCACAACTGTTGGAGTGCATGTACAGTAATCTTTGATTTTATATAAGCCTGACAAGAGAGTGAGCATGACAAGCCTTTCTCAGAAAATTCTTAAAGAATCATTTGTTCTCAGCTGGGCATGGTGGCTAACGCCTGTAATCCCAACACTTTGGGAGGCCAAGGTGGGGGTATTGCTTGAGGCCAGGAGTTCAAGACAAGCTTGGGCAACATAGTGAGACCCCATCTCTAGAAAAAAAGTTAAAAACTTAGCTGGGCACGGTGCTTCATGCCTGCAGTCCCAGCTACCTGGGAGCCTGAGGTGGAAGGATCACTTGAACTCAGGAGTTAGAGGCTGCAGTGACCTATGATCAAACCACTGCACTCCCACCTGGGTGATAGGGCAAGACTCTGTCTCAAAAAAATGAATTTATTTATTATTATTATTATTATTATTTAATTAGAAAAAAATAGAGATGGGATCTCGCCATCTTGCCCATGCTGGTCTTGAACTCCTGGACTCAAGGGATCCTCCCCCTCGGCCTCCCAAAGTGCTGGGATTATAGGCATGAGCCACCATGCCCAGTCAAAAAAAAATGTTTAATTAAAAAAAAAGAATTGTTTGTTCTGGAAGCAATTAAGTCTAAAAGCCCACTCAGTGTTACTGTTGATTCCATATTTGCATGTCTCTTCTGTACCACACTTTCTGGTAGTCTCTACAGGTTATTTTGCATATATTATATTGTGGTAAACTGTAACAGTGTTCCAAAATATTCACTGCCTCTGCCAGGAGAGAATTCTATTTTCTCTTCCCAGTCCTGTCAGGCTTGGCCATGTGACTTGCTTTGGCCCACGAAAGGTGAGGAGAAGTAACGCAGGTCACCCTGGGCTCTAACAGCCGGTGTGGGCTCTGCCAAGCTCTCTCTGTCCTCAGCTTCTCTCTGGTGTTCCAGATACAACCTTTCAGTCAGCATGAGTCCCAAGGGAAGATGACTTGGAGCGGAGCCTCAGCGCATCCACAATGGTCGTAGGGCATCAATATATGAGGGATAACGTGGTAAGACACTGAGCTGGGGAACCCCGTGCAACCTACTCTATCCTGCCTAATACGGTATTCATTGCTTATGATTGATAATAGCTACTATTTCATCAGCACTGTTTGTAAACCAAGCACTTGTGTTCTTACAACATTATTATGAAGTAGATATTCATTTCTCCACTTTACAGGTGAGGAAACAAGACCTGTAGAGATTAAGGAACTTTAGACCTGAGTTTAACCAGCTTTGAGACCTGGGCCTGAGTCTGTCTAAGGCTGAGGCTCTTGCCTCATGTTGGAAAACCAGCTACATTGGAAAACCTCCTGCATATCCTCCACAGCATTTGTGATCTCTTCCCTGAGCTCACAGAAGCACCCAGCAAATGCTTACAAATGACTAACTGAAGGGCAATGACTTGAGCACAGCTGCTGAATATGTGAATGAAGAAATGACTACAGCCAGTTCCTGACTTGCAACAGTTCCACTTACGATTTTTTTTCCTTTACAATGGTGCAAAAGCAGTAGGTATTCTCTACACATCTCAGCATATGGGGATATGTCTGATATCCCCATCCTAAATTGAAAATACCATAAGTCAAAGGTTCAATATTTTCGCCGGCCACACTGGCTCACGCCTGTAACCCCAGCACTTCGGGAGGCTGAGGCAGGTCACTTGAGCTTAGGAGTTTAAGACCAGTTTGGACAACATAGTGAAACCCTGTCTCTACAAAAAAAGATAAAACTTAGCCAGGTATGGTGGTGCATGCCTATAGTGCCAGCTATTCAGGAGGCTGAGGTGGGAGTATCACTTGAGCCTGGGAGGTGGAGGCTGCAGTGAGCCAAGATCATGCCACTGCACTCCAGCCTGGGCAACAGAGCCAGACCCTGTCTCAGAAAACAACAAAACAAAAGGTACAATATTTTCAACTTAGGATGAGCTTATCCAGACATAACCTCATCGTAAGTAGAGGAGTGTCTGTATTTGTTGAAAACTGCATTAGGTAAAACTGTCTAGAATCTCTCATGTAATACAAAAAAGATACAGACCATATCTTCAAAAACTAGATAATAAAGAGGTGAAATGGACCAAATATAATATTTAGAAGTGGTGTTGGAAGAAGGCCACACATTGGCCAGAGGACTAGACCAGGAATCCAGGGTCTGCATTCTAGTTCCTCCTACAGCTGTGTGCTGTTGGTAATCATTTTAACCTCTCTGAGCCTGTTCCATCACACAAAAAGATACTAATAAAACCAGTTCTAGGTGTCGAATGAAATAATATATGTGCTATGTTATGAATGTGTTTCCCAAAATTCATACGTGGGAAACTTAATCCCCAATGCAGCAGTGTTGGGAGGTGGAGCCTCTGAAGAGATCTTCAGGTCACAAGGGCTCTGCCCTCATGAATGAATTAGTTCCCTTTCAAAATGGGCTTTCAGTAGTGGGTTCATTCCTTCCTGCTCTTCTGCTATGTGAGGACACAGGTCCCTCTCCTCCAGAGGACACAGCAAGTGCCATCTTGGCAGCAGAGAGCAGCCCTTGCCAGATGCTGGAGCCTTGATCTTGGACTTCCCAGCCTCCAGAACTGAGAAATAAATGTCTCTTCTTTATAAATTACTGAGTCTCAGGCATTCTGTTATAGCCGCACAAAATGGACTACGACAACATGTAAGTCACTTTAAATTCTACAGTGGGTTGAAATGTCCCAGCATGGGGCCTGTCTGAACAGGAAAGTGGGTAAGTTCAGAAGAGGACTAGAAAGATGCTTCATCCAAGGGCTATAACCCTTTGTGGCGGGGCACTTGAAGAACATAGACTTTTTGAGTTACTGAAGTGTCTCTTTTATAGAATATATAATGCATATTGATTTTTTTTATTTTGTTGAAACTTCTTGATTTAAGAAGCATGCCACAAATTGCTATAAAGTTATAAAAGAGTAAGAAATTACTAAATTGGAGGCATCTCCTGTACAATCTAAAATTCAGGACCCCTTGTGAGAGGTCACTTGCTCCCTGTCGCCATGGAGGGGCATGGGATCTGTGCGTAAACATAAAATCTCTATGCACACATGTGTACACTTGCAATTAAGCCAAAGAATCTGCAGAGTATGTTTAAACCAGTGTAACACACCTCTCAGTCATCTTCACCCCAAAACGCTTTACAATGGAAATGGACTTTGTGCTCTGGGTTACTGAATTCTAGTCTTGGAAATATCCTCAAGCACGTGGAAAAGGAACTCGCACTTACTGAGTGCCCTCTGCGTGTCACAGACTTTACATAGGTTATCTCTAATGCTTATAGCAACCCTTCCAGATCTGAAGTTTAAGAGGCTTATATAACCTGCTCAAGGTCACACAGTTAGCAGGTGACAAAAGATAGATAACAAAAGCTACTGAAATCCTAGTTTATCTGACCCCAAAGCCTAGGTGCTTCCTCCTAGACCAGGGGGTTGGCAAATTACAGCCCATGGGCTAAGTCCTGCCCACCACCTTTGTTTTTGTACCACCTGTGAGTCAAAAACATTCTTTACATTTTTAAACAGTTGAGAAAAAGAAGAAGAATTTGTGGTGCGTTAAAACAATATGAAATTCAGATTTCAGTGTCCACATGTAAAGTTTTGTTGGAATGCGGCCCTGTCTATTTATTTACCTATCGTGTGTGGCTACTCTTGCACCACGATGACAGAGCTGATTGGCTGCAACAAAAACCATATGGCTGGCAAAGTCTAAAGTGTTTGCTTCCCTGGACCTTTTAATTTTTTTTCTTTAAGTAGAAATGGGATCTCACTATATTACCCAGGCTGGCCCCAAACCCCTGGTCTCAAGTGATCCTCTTGCCTCGGCCTCCTAAAGTACTGGGATTACAGGTGTGAGCCACTGCACCTGGCCTGCTTCCCTGGACCTTTACAGAAAAACTGTGCCTCCCCCTGCTCTAGAGCCTGTAGCCCTGTAGGTGATCCTTTTACGGATGAGAAAACAGAAGTCCACAGAGATTTAATAACCGTGTCCCAAGTTAAACAATCTTGGGAGAGATGCAGGTCTGACAGATGAGAAATCCTAAATCATAAATGTGCTGAGTTTCAAAGAAGCTCATAGATGGGTCAGCAAACCTGGCTGACCGCGATGGAGAGAGTGAGTGAGTGGAGTGGAGCAGAGCAGCCCAGAAGCTGCAGAGGTCATAGCAGAAATTCGGGCTCTGGTGGAGAATGATGCAATCAATTTGGGAATCTGAAATGACAAAGAGACAGAATATCCTGCCAGGAAGACACTGTCATCTGCAGCGTGGAGGCCGGATTAAAGGAGAGCACTCAAGACTCACTTGCCAGGGCAGAGTAAATCACTCTCAGAACTTGATCTTTCACTCAGTGAAACAAATAAAAGAAAATGGTAATAAACAAAAATCGTGGTACTATTGCAATTAATTTGTTCATAACATATTAAGAGAACGTTTATAAAATATGATTGTTTTTGTAAAAGAAATTGCATATGTATTTGTGTGTGTGTATCCATAGGAAAAAGCAAAGATAGATTTACATCAGCTTTCCAATGGTAGCTACTTCTACAGAGAGAGAGAAAAGAGAGGAGGGAAGCTCTCGTGTTCTATTTTATACAAAATTATATCATTTGAATTTTTATCTTGAGAACATAATATTTGCAAAAACTTAAAAACAAAATAAGTGATCTGTTATCTGTAAAATAAATAGACTGTAAAAGATTGTTTAGTGTCAGTGTGGAAGTCACTAGGAGGTAGCCCCCAAAAGCCATTAGGCTGGTAAAAATCTAAGCAAAGCCTGTAAACCAGTTCATTGCAAGATCTGTAAACTAATTAGCTGTATGATGCCAATACCAATTTCCTGGTTTTGATCAGCATATAATACTACATAAGATGTCACCATTGCAGAAGCTGAGTGATGAGTGCATGGGACCTCTTAACACTGTTTTTGCAACCTTTTGCTTTTTAGAAGTTTAAAATTGAAAATTGAAAATTGAAAAAGAGCCGAGCATGGTGGCTCACGCGTGTAATCCCAGCACTTTGGGAGGCTGAGGTGGGCAGATCAGTTGATGTCAGGAGATCGAGATCAGCCTGGCCAACACGGCAAAACCCCATGTCTACTAAAAATACAGAAATTAGCCAGGCATGGTGGTGTGTGCCTGTAATCCCAGCTGCTAGGGAGCCTGATACATGAGAATCACTTGAACCTGGGACACAGAGGTTGCAGTGAGCCAAGATCGTGCCACTGCACTCCAGCCTGGGCAACAGAGTGAGACTCTGTTTCAAAAAAAAAGAAAAAGAAAATTTTAAAAGCGGCTGAGCATAGTGGCTCATGCTTGTAATCCCAGCACCTTGTGAGGCTCAGGTGGAAGGATCACTTAAGCCTAGGAGGTCGAGGCTACATTGAGCCCTGATCTCGCCATGGCATCCTAGCCTGGGTGACAGAGTATAACCCATCTCAAAAAAAAATAAAAAAAAGAAAGTTTTAAAAGAAAACTACTAGGTGGAACTACATGAAGTTGTAATATTGGACTGTTTTTGACCCACAAATATGGCAATTTCATATAGTTAACTCTACAGTTAATCTAGGGAAAGGTGTAGCTGAATTAACTGTATTTGAACCTGTCTGAAAGAGCTTTGGCAACAGATGGAGGCCGTCTGCATGGGGTATGGCAGCTTCAATTCAGCAAGCCTCCTGAGGACTTCATGGTTTCGAGGGGCAGCTGTGGTCCTGGGGTTCAGCTCCCTCTATTCTGACTCCCCCCTCACTAAGCAGCACTGGTGCTGGGAACATGGGTTCCCCAGTCCCTGGGAAGATACGCAGCTCTTGACATGCAGGCTGATGATCCTTCCCTGAAAAGTTTTGTTAGCAAAAGCTGCGCAGCTGGAAGAGTTCTGGGTGAGTGGACAACATTATGCTTCAGGTCCTAGAAAGCTGAGGATAACCCTTAAGAGTGTGGTGGTCACAAGCCAGCACCACCCCTCGGGGTAGCCAGGCTCTCTCTGACGTGGCTTCTGCATGGTCAGCACTGACCAAAGACACAAACAAAGGGTGGACCTCAAAAGACCCAAAGGAGAAGTAGGATGCCTCAGCAGCTGCTCCACAGAAGCAGCCACCGTGGTGCCGTGGCAGCCCTTTGGACAGGGCTCCCAAATGTGCGGAATACTTAGGCTGAAGGAAAAGAGCACATTCTGGCCAGGCGCGGTGGCTCACGCTTGTAATCCCAACACTTTGGGAGGCCGAGGCGGGCAGATCACCTGAGGTCGGGAGTTTGAGACCAGCCTGACCAACATGGAGAAACCCCATCTCTACTAAAAATACAAAAATTAGGTGGGCGTGGTGGCACATGCCTGTAATCCCAGCTATTTGGGAGACTGAGGCAGGAGAATCACTTGAACCCAGGAGGTGGAGGTTGGGGTGAGCTGAGATTGTGCCATTGCACTCCAGCCTGGGCAACAAGAGAGAAACTCTGTGAAAAAAGGAAGGGAGGGAAGGAGGAAGGGAGGAAGGGAGGGAGGGAGGGAGGGAGGGAAAGGAGCACAGTCTCTGTTATAGGCAGAGTTTGACACAAATTTCCCAGGCCATAGAAACTCTGGGACTGGACTGAGGAATAAATGACCCTAGGTTATTCTCCTCGACAGCAGGACACCAATAAAATCGCTGAGAAAATTTGTCAAATACATTGTTTCAGAAAGAGTATTTGCATTTTCAGTGTCAAAAAAAAGAAAGTAAACTAAAACTAAACTTAATTTTAAGTCTTAAAATTAAATGGAGTATTTATTTTTTCCTTAACGTCTTTTGCCTGTTACCAGTACTAAAAAGAAATATTTTAGAAAGGTGTTAAACATTTGGGTGAGAGAATAGCTGAAGAAAGCAATACCATGGGCAACCACTGAAGTGCTCTCGGAGAAGAGCATGGAATGAGAAGAGTGCATTACTTTGCTAGTGCATTGCAAATGTCAGACTGCATTACAAATTCATAGACTGGGGGGCTTAACAGAAGTTTATCAACTCAAAGTTCTAGAGACTGTAAGTCCAAAATAAAGGTGTTAGCAGAGTTGCTTCTACTAAAAGGAAAACTTCAGACACATTAAATTTAGCAGAGTTTACATGACCAAAGAATGATTCATGAATAGGGCAGCCATCTGAAAAAGAAGAGGTTCAGAGAACCCCACCTAGCCTTGTGAACAGAGAGCTTTTATAGGCCAAAGATGGGGAGGCAAAGTAGACAAATCACCTGATTGGCTATAACTAGGCATTTGCCTTATGGGATATTACTGGTGTCCTTATAATAAGGGAAATTTGGACACAGAACACACACAGGGAGAATGCATGGTGTGATTTGTTGGCTGCTGCTGATTGGCTGAAACCTATTTGTTACAAAAATGTACTATTAAGTTAGGTTGTGGCTTGTTGTGTGGGAACTCTTAGAGACAGCCTCAGGCCAACAGCCTCCTGCTTATTGAATTCAACACTTCTTTTCAAAGGCTGTGGGGGAGAACCTGTTCCATCACTTTTTCTCAGCTTCTGGTGGTTTGCCAGCAATCTTTGGTGTCCTATGACTTGTGGAAGCATCCTCTCAATCTCTGTGTTTATCTTTTTATTTTATTTATTTTTATTTTTATTATTTTTATTTTTAGAGACGGGGTCTCACCATGTTGCCCAGGCTGGTCTTGAACTCCTGGGCTCAGGCAATCCTCCCATCTCAGCCTCCCAAAGTGCTGGGATTACAGGTATGAGCCACCACGCCCAGCCTATTTTTTTTTTTTTTTTTTTTTTTTGAGACAGGGTCTCAACTCTGTCTCCCAGGCTGGTGTGCAGTGATGCTATCATAGCTCAATGAAGCCTTGACCTCGCAGGCTCAAGCCATCCTTCCACCTCAGCCTCCCAAGTGGCTGGGACTACAAGTGCATGTCACTATGCCCAGCTGATTTTTTTTCTTTTTTTTTGGTAGAGACAGGGTTTTGCCATGGTGCCCAGGCCGGACTCCAACTCCTGTGCTCAAGATCTTCCTACACCTCAGCCTCCCAGAGTGTTGGGATCACAGGCGTGAGCCACTGCGCTTGGCCTTTGCCTTCATCTTCACATGGCATTCTCCCTGTGTGTGTTCTGTGTCCAAATTTCCCTTTTATAAGGACACCAGTCATATCCCATTAGGCACTTACTCTACTCTAGTGTGACCTCATTTAAACTAATTACGCCTGCAGTGACCCTATTTCCAAGGTCACCTTCTGAGGTACTGGAGATTAGGACTTCCAGGTAGGAAGTTGGGGGGCACAAAAACAAGGGGCAATGGTCATCATTCACACTGAAGTTTCCCAAACTCCTTCTTTTCTATTCACTCTTTTCGTGGTTGTGACACCCAGTGACACCTCTTTCATTACGTAGGAAATGCATTACAAGAAGACTCTGAAGCAGCAGAATAGCTGCCAAAGGGGTGTAAAAAATCTGATGGGGAATCACTGAAATGAAATGATATCAGGTCAAAATCTGATGGAGAATCACTGAAATGAAATGACATTGGCCATAGGAGGTGTCCTGGCCTGGGCATCAGAACACGTGGGCGGTAGTCCAGGCTCTGACTCTACTCCACCGGGGAAATCTGAGCACGTCACTGTGCTTGCTGAGCTGCAGTACCCTGCCCCATAGGATGGAAGGGCTAGACAACCCCCACTTCGCGAATGAGCCAGCCGCGGCTCACAGAGGATAAGCGACCAAATCCACTCGCTGGCTGAGTTGGAACCAGGACAAGAGCCCAGGTAGATCTCTTTTGGCCTGTTACTTTCCCCACTGTACCTACATCTCTCTGAGATTCCAAGTCCAATCTCGTGAGCCCTGAGAGTCTAAGCCAGGCCTTTTCAAGGCTAACTACAGGCTTAACATGTAACCTTCCCTCAAAACCTCTGACCCACCTCAAGATCGGTAAGTCACCCCATAATCTTTTTAAAAGGCCTGGTGGCTGGACAGCCTATAATTTCCTTGATTAGCATCACCCAACCCCACAGAGATCAGAACTGCTCTGGGCGGGACAATTCCTGGTATTGAGTAGACTCTGGGTTTGCTGGTCTCGGTAGATGGTTTTCCACGGCCAGCGCTCACAGAGGGCTGTTCTGGAGGCCCATGCCGAGGCCAAGTTTGGATAGCATTATAAGTGTGCATAACGTCAGGCCCAGCACACCAAAGTTTGGTTACTCCCACTCCTGTGCCCAGCAAGGATTTCCACACATCTGAAAATGGAAAAAGCACTAAAACCTTAACCATTTACCTTTCCTTCAACTTTCTGCCACGTCCCACGCTCACAAATAGCATAAGAAGCCCTTTTTCTTCCTCCCTGCGAGAACAGTCTGAAAATGGTGAACACAGATTGCCGGTTAGCATTAGCCACAGGGAGGGAAAATGTAAGATATTAATGTCGCTTTTTCATATGGCAGTGTGAGCCTTTGTGGATAATAAGAAACCCTTATTTGCAGGGTCAAACACCACAATATGTACATATCCCTAAAGAGTGTTTGCAAAATAGGCAATAACGGCTAGAAATAGACTGTCTCGGAATGGCTAATAAACAATAAACCTCTTGCCTTTAAAATTAACAACAACAAAAAGAAGCATATTGTGTGTAGTCTACACTGGGTGGAGTGGGGTGCAGTGGAATGTGTTCACGACTCAGTTCTGTCCTCTCCGTTACTCCTGGCACAGCGGGAAGTCATGGTCCTGTAAAACAGCGACAAAAGGAAAACCCGCAAACACTGCCTGGAGAGGCAATGCCAGAGAAATTCAGAATTTTACATCTGGGAAGAACTTTTGTGTCCCTTGAACTCCAGCTTGCCTGGTCCTCAGTGTGCAGTGACTTACCCGAGGTTACACAAGGTAAAGCAGGAAATGCCCACAGGAATCTTCCAGTCTGAGGAAGTTATGGTTTGGGGGTTTGCTATAGAATATGCTGGGCTTGAATCCAGGAGCCCTGCGTTTCTCCCTAGCTCTGCTGCTGTGTGAGCTCGAATACATCCCTAAACCTCATGGGACATCACGTTCCTCTGCAAATAGAAGTGGAAGCACCTATTCATGGTGTTGCTGTATGAGACAACGTGGGTAACAGAACCTGGCAAATGTAAAATGGCATTAAATGAAATACATCAAGCAATAATATGAGTAAGAAATGCTATATTTTTTAAGTGATATTGTTACAATGATTATAAAATCTCAGAAAGTCAGTTGCTATCCAAGTTGTTAAATACCTCCACCTTTGCAGCGTGAAATAATTGCTTCTGGAGTAATAACAATATCAGATGTGTATTTAGACCTTTCCTGGTTACCAAGTGCCTTTAATACAACTTTCTGCATTGATTCTCACTGAGGAAACCAGAACAAGACTCAAAGCAGCCCACAACATCCTCAAGGTCACCAAGTTAAAGAATGGCAGGGCTGGACTTCCGATGCTCAGTGAGGCGCTCCATCAACAAAACCACATTGCCTCTGGAAAGAAACTGCCCAGTCTGGGCAAGCTGGTATCTCAAAGTGGTTGCCCATTGTTGACAAAGGCTCATCTGGACCCAGGACCATTGCTGGGCTGGTTTGCAACCTCACATGGAGAGTCCCGGAGCGTGGGGCTGAGGCCCAGACTATAAAGCAGCCTTCTCCCATGAGGCACAGCCCTCCCACAGTCACTGGAATGGGAGACGTTGCTCAAGGCAGCAGGAAATGAGGCTCAGCACAGCCTCCTCGTGATGTCCCTGATCTCAGATCCTCCTCCCCGCTGTCAACACCTCTTGTAAATCGGTGCAATGATATAAACCCCTGAGCCCTTTCCAGTCCCTGATCCCAAATGCAAATAAGATCTGCACATAGAAGCAATAACTCTCTCCTGGATGAAAGAAATATTCAGAGTACCAAATCTCATACAGAAAACTAAATCGGCCAGGTGCAGCAGCTCACACCTGTAATCCCAGCAACTCGGGAGGCTGAGGCAAGAGGGCAGCTTGAGGTCAGGAGTTCAAGGTCAGCCTGGGCAACATAGCAAGATCCCCATCACTAAAAAAAAAAAGTAAAATAAGCATTCAGTATTTTATTTGTGTGTCACCAAGAGTTTGCACATGTGAAACTATTCAGCTAAATGCATAAATTCAGCTTTTTATTGGCATATTTTCTCACTGTAAAGAGAATCACAAAGACACAAAGGAAGCCTCTGTGCTCCTCAGTTCCCAGGTCTAAAATTTCAGAGTTATTTCTGGAAGCCCTTTTGGCATTGTCCATCAAGTACTCTAAGTTATCCATATCCATTGGCCCAGTGATTCTCTTTTATTTACTTATTTGTTTGTTTTGGATTCAGGGGGTACATATGCAGGTTTATTACGTGGATATATTACCTGCTGCTGAGGTTTGGGCTTCTAATAATCCTGTCGCCCAAGTAGTGAACATACTCCCAGATAGATGGGCTTTCAACCCGTGCCCACCTCCGTCACTCCCTCCCACAGTTATTCCCTTTATAAGAATCATGATCAGAAATTCAGATGAAGATATTCATCACTTACAATTGTGAAGAGTCAGCCATGAAGCTCAGTGTTCGCCACAAGATGTTAACAGCGGCTGCCTCCAGCAATGAGGTTATGACACAGCTGTATTTTTCTCTTTTTCTTTACATGTTTCTGTAATTTCCAAAATTACCTATAATGAGAAACAACCCAAATATACATTGACAGATGAAGGGATAAACAAAATGTGTAGATGCGCGCAATAAAATACCCTTCAGCCTGTAAAAGGAAGGCAATCGGGTCACACGCTGCAACATGGATGAACCTGGATGATGTTATGCTCAGTGAAATAAGCCAGGCACGAAAAGACACAGACTGTCTGATTCCACTTGAATGAGGTTCCTAGAGTGGTCAAACTCATGGAGACAGAAAGTAGAATGGTGATTGCCAGGGGCTGTAGGAGGGGGAGTGGAGAGCTGCTGTTTCATGGGGATGGAGTTTCAGTTTGGGGAGATGAAAAAGTTCTGGAGACGGATGGTGGTACTGGCTGCACCACGATGTGAGTGTGGAATGTGCTTACTGCCACTGACCCGCACACTTAAAAATGGTCAAAATGGCAAATATTATGTATATTTTACCAAAATAAAAAAAATGGTTAAGGAAAATTATTTGTAAATATGTATTTTACTGTGCTGGGAAAAAAAAAAGTTGCATTAAGAGAAAATTAGGCCGGGCACGGTGACTCACACCTGTAATCCCAGCACTTTGGGAGGCCAAGGTGGGTGGATCACCTGAGGTCAGGATTTCTAGACTAGTCACATGGCGAAACCTCATCTCTACTAAAAAAAACACAAAAATTAGCCAGGTCTGGTGGCGTATGCCTGTTATCCCAGCTACTCGGGAGGCTGAGGCAGGAGAATCGCTTGAACCCAGGAGATGGAGGTTTCAATGAGCTGAAATTGTGCCACTGCACTCCAGCCTGGGAGAAGAGTAAGACTCCATCTCAAAAAAAAAAAAAAGGCAGGGAAAATTAAATAACCACGCTGGCTTTGTCTAGATGCTTTCCCTTCCAGCTCCCACCAGCCCTGCCTTGATGCCATTTTCCTATCTGTGCAGCGACATGATGAGTGTTCCAAGGTCATGCTAAACAGTGACCTCTGGACTCATCTCAGATGCATGCAGAGACTCTTATTTAGAAAGAAATAAGTCTCATTATTTCCTTTTAATAAGTTCCTTTACATTTTATACTAAGTGTTTTTTTTAAAAGGAAATTCCAAATCTAAATTCAGTGCTTGAGGGGTACAAACATGCTTGCTTAGACCTTTTTATCATAATCACGAGAATGAGAAAGGAGGAGAGCATTCCATCACCCACACATTTTCTGTATCAGACCACATCTGTTACATTTAAGTGAGTAGCGATACTTGGCAAATATGTCATGCACCTTCCTGTTTCATGACCTACAATTTTAAAAAATGATCTGGGCCAGGCACTATGGCTCATGCCTATAATCCCAGCACTTTGGGAGGCTTAGGCAGGAGGATCACTTGAAGCCAGGAGTTTGAGACCAGCCTGGGCAACACAGACCACCAAGTCTACAAAAAATTAAAAATAAAAAAATTATCCAGGTGTGATGGTACGTGCCTGAGGTCCCAGCTACTTGGGAGGCTGAGGTAGGAGGATTGCTTGAGCCTAGAAGTTCAATGCTACACAAGAGCTATGATCACGCCACTGCACTCCAGCCTGGGAAACACAGTGAAACCCTGTCTTGACCGGGCATAGCGGCTCAAACCTGTAATCTTAACACTTTGGGAGGCTGAGGCAGGAGGATGGCTTGGAGCCCAGGATTTTGAGGCCAGCCTAGGCAACATAGCAAGACCGTTTTTGCAAAAAAAAAAAAAAAAAAATCAAAACATTAGTCAGGCATGGTGGCATAGGCCTGTGGTCCCAGCTTCTTGGGAGGCTGAAGTGGGAGGACCACTTGAGCCCAGAGGTTGAGGCTGGAATGAGTCACGATTGCACCACTGCACTCCAGCCTTGGCAACAGAGTGAGACCTTGTCTCAAAAGAAAAGAAAGAAAAAGAAAAAGAAACCCTATCTCTCAAAAAAAAATAAAAAGTAGCCAGGTGTGGTGGCTCATGCCTGAAATCCCAGAACTTTGGGAGGCTGAGGCAGGAGGATCACTTGAGGTCAGGAGTTCGAGACCAGCCTGGCCAATATGGTGAAACCCTGTGTCTACTAAAAATACAAAAATTAGCTGAGTGTGGTGGCATGTGCCTGTAATCCCAGCTACTCAGGAGGTTGAGGCAGGAGAATCACTTGAACCCAGGAGGCAGAGGCTGCAGTGAGCGGAAATTACGCCACTGCACTCCAGCCAGGGCAACAGAGTGAGACTCCATCTCAAAAAAAATAAAATAAATAAAAATAAAAAGTAGAATCATACAATGTTTGTCTTTTTGTGACTGGCTTACTTCACTTAGTATAATGTCTCCAAGCTTCATTGATGTAGTATGTAGCAAGATTTCTTTCCTTTTTAAGGCTGAATAATAGTCCGTGTAGGTATACACCATATTTTGTTTATTCATTCATCCATGAGTAGACACTTGGGTTGCTTCCACCTGTCGACTATTGTGAATAATGCTACTGTGAACCTGGGTGTACAAAAATTCAATACAAATTTTAAGAATTGGTGAGCCATATGTGTCTAGGAAAATAAAGCAGATGACCTCTATCTCACTGGTACCAGGAAATCACTTATTTCATGGAATCAGAAAATGTTAGAGCAGGAAACAATTATTAAATCATCATCTATATTTATTTATAGATGAGGAAACAGACATGAAGAGACTTAACTAGGATGGTTTGTAAAATGTTCAGTTCCTACGTTTGGGGAGAAGGAGCTGTTGAAAAGAACCCCTCTCCCAGGCAAAATTTTCTACCCAACTTGTCATGCCACATACCTCAAATTCCCTACATCACAGATTTATTTACTTCGATGAAGGCACTGGTAATTTTACCAGGAATCTCCTAGTAAAATAAAAATAGCTCCAAGGGAAAGCCATTGTTGACCCACAACCCTTTGTCTTGAAAGACTGGTTTTCCATGAAACAATAAGCTTAGAGTGGCGCTCTTAGGGAATAGAGCCTGCCCAGGGGAACTCAAAGAGGAGGTGGAGTCTCCAGGAATTGTCAGCATAGACAAGCCACAAGGAAACAATCGCCTCTTGAAAAGCTCCAGGCATCCAGGGGTAGTCAATCCCCAGAAAAGTCAAGCTAGAGAAGGCCAAAGACCAACTCAGGCAGCATTACAATGCTGGCTAGCTCTTTACGCCATGTTGGGCTTCATGTCAAAATATAAGACTTCGCCATCAGTGCTCTGGGGCCAGGACTCAGTTCAGGATGTTCGTGGCATATTTCACCAGGCTTTCTCAGTCACATGAGCAAAGACTCTTTTTTTCATTAGCAAGAATGGAAAATGCCCAAATGCATCACCAACTGAGGAAATCATTTTGTTTCAACAGATTTCAATCTCTCTGGCACCAAAACGTGTTTCATGATGGAGCTGAGGGAATTCTGTCAGCAAAATGCAGTGTTCTAAGACCAAGAGAACTCCATTATAACACAGCTCGTTAGCACAAGGATCTGAACATTCCTCGGGTCAGAGACTGCTCTCTATAAACACAGCAACCAAGTTCGATTCTTCAGTAGAGTGTTATTTCTACCTCCAATTCCAAAGCTATGAAGTGGTTCCTTCTTATGCCTGCAGAAGAACAACAAGATTTGAAAAGAGAATTATGGTAGACCAAGGAAAGCATGCACCTACAAATATGTTTGACAATATCCACAAATGATGGATAGAGCCTTTTGCAATCCCAACATCAAGGCGGATGAGACCAGAAAACCTGCTATTTGTTAAAAAATCATAAAACAACATCTAATTGGCCAATAAGAAATGAGATTTACTGTTCTATCTGCAGGTGAGTCAAGAGAATGTAGAAACTGGGTAATTAAAACAAAGTCAGGCCAGGTGTGGTGGCTCATGCCTGTAATCCTAGCACTTTGCAAGGCGGAGGCAGGCGGATCACTTGAGGTCAGGAGCTCCAGACCAGCCTGGCCAACATGGTGAAGCCCTATCCCTGCTAAAAATACAAAAATTAGCTGGAAATCGCTGGAACCTGGGAGGCAGAGGTTGCAGTGAGCTGAGATCGTGCCACTGCACTCCAGCCTGGGCAACAGAGCAAGATGCTGTCTAAAAAAAAATAAATAAATAAATAAAATGAAACAAAGTCAGAGGTGCGGCTTGGTGGCTCACACCTGTAATCCAGCACTTTGGGAGGCCGAGGCGGGAGGATTGCTTGAGCCCAGGAGTTCGAGACCAGCCTGGGCAACATCATGAGACCCCATCTCTACAAAAAATACACACACACACATACACACAATTAGCCAGGCATGGTGGCCTGTGGCTGCGGTCCCAGCTACTAGGGAAGCTGAGTTGGGAGGATGGTTTGAGCAGGGAAGGAGGAGGTTTCAGTGAGCTGAGATTGTACCACTGCATCCCAGTCTGAGCAACAGAGCCAGACCTTAAGAAAAGAAAAGAAAAAAATAAGAGAAGAGAAGAGAAGAGAGAGGGAGAGAGGGAGGGAGGGAGGCAGGGAGGCAGGAAGAAGGGAAGAAAGGAAGGAAGAAAGGAAAGAAAAGAAACCTGGCTGGGCACGGTGACTCACAGCTGTAATCCTAGCATGCCACTTCAGCTCAGGAGTTTAAGACCAGCCTGGGCAACATAGTGAAAGCTCATCTCTACAAAAAGGTTTTTATACAATTAAAAAAAAAAGCCAGATACCACAGTAATTAAGACAGTTTACACACATTAGCTGTATAGTTTACTAAACTAGGAATCAACCATACTCTGGGGAGAACCCAGAAAACAGTATTTCTGGGGCCCTGCCATTGTGATACCTATAGTATGTGATAAGTAAAGTCCACAATAACAAAATATAGTAAGTTCACAACAATTTAATCTAAATAATAAAAATTAAATTGTAGCATTACTCCAATTCCCGTGGTAGTAATATTCGGCTTACTTCACTGACAAGGTAATTGTTAATTGAGCCAACATCTGCTTTATCCTCTCCCATGTCCCAGTAGGCCAAGCTCATATGACCTATTCCAATCTTCCCCAGAGGCCTTCCTATCTTGTGTCTCAGCAGCCTAAGGAAGCATACTGGACTGTATTAAGCTAGCCCCTAACCAACAGAGCCCACGCTGCAATCTTTTTTTATGGATCTTACCACGGAGTGGACAGCCCCCAGAACTGGGTTGGGATTGTCAGAGACACCACTAAAGGCTGTCCTCTCCAGCACTTGTAAGCTTGGTTTCATTTTTCCATTAAAAAAAAAAAAAAGGAACATATGGCTAGGCACAGTGGCTCACGCCTGTAATCCCAACACTTTGGGAGGTCGGTGGATGGATCACCTGACGTCAGGAGTTCGAGACCAGCCTGGACAACATGACGAAACCCCATCTCTACTAAAAGTACAAAAATTAGCTGGGCATGATGGTGGGCGCCTGTAATCCCTGCTACTTGGGAGGCTGAGGCAGGAGAATCGCTTGAATCCGGGAGGTAGAGGTTGCAGTGAGCTGAGGTTGGGCCATTGCACTCCAGCCTGGGTGACAAGAGTGAGACTCTTATCTCAAAAAAAAAATAAAAAAGTATATACACAAAACACATTATATTAGTACGTCCCTGCTATAATGACTATAGAGGGAGGCACGGAATATTCCTTTGATCAGTTTGGTTTATATTTTTCCAGCACTTTTCCCAAGCATTTATATATATGGCTTATAACCTGTTTTGCAACTAGAGTTTTTGTTTAACAAATATGGCTCAGATCCTAGGTCTTCTGCAGGTTTCCTAGAGGCTTTTTAGCAGGGACATGAGAGAAGGTTTGGCCTCTACAGTGCCCCCTCAGAAACTGTCCCTTCAACCTGTTCTCTCTGTCAAGCCTCTCGCACTTGAAGGAAAGTCGCATCAAAGCAAAGGGGCTGCCTGTCTCTACAACATGCTCTGGCAGGAGGGCTGGGCTCCAGCCAAGCCAGAAACCACACTGAAAACCAGAGATCCAAATAAAGGTAGCAAATGAGAGAAGGTAGCACATCTAGGAGGCCATAGGGTAGATCGAGCAGGAGGCCAGGACCAAGGGCTCAGCACCAAGAGCAGGAGGAAGACAGACACAGGCAGGGGTATCACGGGTATGATGCATGGGCTGGTCTGCCAGATTTACAGAGTCCAGGAGGCCAGGGCGGTGGCTCACGCCCGAAATCCCAGCACTTGGGAAGGCTGCAGGAGAAGGATCCTTCGAGCCCAGGAGTTCAAGACCAGCCTGGGCAACATAGCAAGACTTCATCTCTACTAAAAATATTTTGTTTTTGTGTTTGTTTTCTACTAAAATTTGTTTTTAATTAGCCATGTATGGTGACACATGCCTATAGTCCAAGCTACTTGGGAAGCTGAAGCAGGAGGATCACTTGAGCCCAGGAGTCCAAAGCTGCAGTGAGCCATGATCATGCCACTGCACTCCAGCCTGGGCAACAGAGCAAGACCCTGTCTCTTAAAAAACAATTTTAAAAATTAAAAAAATAAAAAATATATATATATGTGTGTGTGTGTGTATGTGTGTGTGTGTATGTATATATACATATATACATACACACACACGTATGTATATATACATATATACATACACACACGTATGTATATATACATATATACATACACACACGTATGTATATATACATATATACATACACACACGTATGTATATATACATATATACATACACACACACGTATATATATACACACACAATCAGGAAAGAGAGGAAAGAAGAAGGCAGTTTGAGATGGAATCTACTGGATTTGCCCCAGTGAGTCCTGAAGGAAGGAGGGCAGCAAGGGGTCCCATGTGACCTACGACAGGGAGAAGGTGGTGCAGTTATAGAAATGGGGAAAGCAGGGCCCAGAGGCAGGTTTGGAGAGATGGATGAAATGAATCTGTTGGATGGGGAAGACAATGGTAGATGTTTTCCTCATGGTCCTGTCTGCTCCCGACATTCCTTGCTGCAGTGAGTTTATGGAGGAAAGGGGCATCAACATGAGAAAATAGGTTCCTTTATCTCACCAAATAGCCCTCATCCCACCCTCCTTTGGGGCATCATCTTTGTTTACCTTTTCTTATCTCCCACTGGGAAATATACTCCTAAGGGAAGCCCATCTGTCTTTGTCACCTCTGTAGCACTTTATAGGGGATTTAAAGGGGCTTCAGGTTTGGGAAAACAGCCAGATCCATTTTTCACACCTGAGTTAAGGTTTCAACTCTAGTGATGGTCACAACAGCCGAGGCTTCAAAGTCCCTCTATGCTTTTCAAGGTCCACCCACTCAGAGAAGGCAAGGTGTGGGCTGCTAGAAAGACCTGGCAATGACCAGAGTGGTGGAATCTGTCCAGGATGTCCTGGGGACAGCCACACCACAGAAAGGAGGGAACAAGAGAGAAAAGATGGGAAAGGCCATGTACGAGAGACTGAAATAGGAAATTCTGGACCATCTTCATGGAAAGCCTTTACAAAATATGGGTGGAGCTCATGCCTTCAGAGAGAGAAGAAATGATGAACAAAACCCCCAGAGCTTAGCAGTGTTAGAAGTTGCATGAAAACATTTGGAAACACCATGACTCGTTTTTGGCATGGAAGCAAGGATGCAGGTCGATAGATTAAGTTAGCATCTTGAGTGGCATTATGCAGATACCTCTCTGGAAGAAGCCTTCACAGGCGGCCCAGAGGCACCTGAGCTCAAGGTCGACCAGGCGACCCATCTGACCAGCAGGGCTAATTTATTGACAAAGAGCAGTGAGAATATACATTTCAGCCAAGATCTGGGAGTAAAAGTTAGGGGCAAGAATGGAATCAAGACACTTATTTAGGGCTGGACATGTGGCTCACACCTGTAATCTCAACACTTTGGGAGGCTGAGGCAGGAGGATTGCTTGAGCCCAGGTGTTCGAGACCAGCCTGGGCTACATAGTGAGATCCTGTTTCTTAAAAGAAAAAAAATAATTAGCTGGGCATGATGGTGCACACCTGTAGTCCCAGACACTGGGGAGGCAGAGGCAGGAGGATCGCCTGAGCCCAGAAGTTCTAAGCTGCAGTGAGCTGTGATTGCACCACTGCACTCCAACCTGGTCAACAGTGCAAAACTATCTCTAAAGAAATTTTTAAATTAAAAAAATTAAAAAGACACTTATTCAGGAAAAAGGAGGCTCTGCCAGGAGGTGGGGCCCAGGGCCTCTAAGAACCTTTGCTCTAGCCCACTCTGTCCAAAACACAACAGTTACAAAAGGAGGAGGATGAAAAAATAACTAAAAGATAAAAAAAGAAAAAACAGTAATACAAGTTTCTCAAAAACAAACAGTTCAACACAAAACAGGGGAAGCTATAATCATTACAAATAGTATCAGTAGAAATAAAGTCAGTTTTTTTCTTTTCTTCTTAAAAAAAAACAAAACAAACAAAAACATAAACGGGATCCATGTGCAGAACGTGAAGATTTGTTACATAGTATACATGTGCCATGGTGGTTTGCTGCACCTATTGAACTGTCCTTTAGGTTCCCTCCCCTCACCCCCCTACCCCCAACAGGCCCTGGTGTGTATTGTTCCCCTCTCTGTGTCCATGTGTTCTCATTGTTCAACTCCCTCTTACGAGTGAGAACATGCAGTGTTTGGCTTTCTGTTCCTGGATTAGTTTGCTGAGGATGATGTTTCCAGCTTCATCCATGTCCCTGCAAAGGACATGAACTCATTCCTTTTTATGGCTGCATAGTTTTCCATGGTGTATATGTGCCACATTCTCTTTATCCAGTCTATCATTGATGGGCATTTGGGTTGGTTCCGTGTCTTTGCTATTGTAAATAGTGCTGAAAGTCATTTCTACTGCCTATGCTTTTGGAAATGCATCTGAGGAGTGGACTAAAAATGCCAACCCTCACCCTCAGCCCAGTGGCTTCATAGTACATGGGGACTAGCAGGTGGTACCTTCAAGTTCTGGGACACTTTGTTTCTTCCAGCACTTCTGCAAGGGCTATGGTGGGAGGGCCGTGTCACTTTGGGGGTCAGTATCTCGGGGCAATGGTGTGGCTGCATGCAACACTGTATTGTGTTGTAATACAACCTTTATTTGTATCTAACCATATTTATTAAAATATAATAATCTACCTTACATCATTGTTTTCTCTCTCAAGGCTCATTCTGCCCCAAACTATTTTTCCCCTTGCTTTTGTACAGTGAGATCTGCAATCTGAATGCCAGCTTGCTGAGGCCATGCCTGTGGCTATAGTTTTGAACAAGGAAGTGTGACTTGGAATCAAACGTGTTTTGAGGAGCTGGGGGAAAGAATTGGTGGAGACTGCGGTGAGGGGAAGGAATCAGGGCAGTCAGAAATGGGTATGGGGCCGGGCGTGGTGGCTCACGCCTGTAATCCCACACTTTGGGAGGCTGAGGTGGGTGGTTCATGAGATCAGGAGACAGAGACCATCCTGGCTAACATGGTGAAAACCCATCTCTACTAAAAATACAAAAAATTAGCCAGGAGTTGTGGCAGGCGCCTGTAATCCCGCTACTTGGGAGGCTGAGGCAGGAAAATCGCTTCAACCTAGGAGGCAGAGGTTACAGTGAGCCCAGATCGCACCACTGCACACCAGCCTGGGCGACAGAGCAAGACTCTGTCTCAAAAAAAAAAAAAAAAAGAAATCATGGAAGGACGGTGGCATGAGAAAGGCAAAGGACATTCATTTAATTGGATTTATTTGTTAAATTTTTTTTATTTCCATGTGCCCTTCTGAACTGTATTTCTCCTCAAGAGTAAGAACTAAATGCCTCCCACCTCATGTAATTTAATTAATTATGCCACCTCAATCTTAGCATCACTGTTATGGAAGGGCGATCAGGTTAGTGCCTAAGTGTGGCATTTTATTTAAAAAATCAATAAGCAATCTAGAAAGCTAAATTTTAGCAATATTAATTCTTAAACAATGTTTGACACTTAAATCCAGAAATTTGATTTTTAAAGGTTTCCTAATTATTTCACCAAAATCAGGTTGAATGAAAACTGCTTTTGTCTAAAATAGTTTTGCGGATGGCGATTGTTAAGTTATTGTATTGTTCCATTTTGCACCCTACAATTTCACTGAAAGGCAGATTAATGAAAATCAGCTAGGCCAGTTTCTGAACATTACCCTCTCCTCCAGAGGACACACCTCCAGGGCAATCTGCCCCTTTTGGCCTGCCTTCACAGGGATCCTCCAGTACCTGCCTCTCCGAGGAAGGTTGTCCTGAACAGACAAATCTAGAAATGAGCCGGGCGCGGTGGCTCATGCCTGTAATCCCAGCACTTTGGGAGGCCGAGGCGGGCGGATCACGAGGTCAGGAGATCAAGACCATCCTGGCTAACACGGTGAAACCCCATCTCTACTAAAAATACAAAAAAAAAAAAATTAGCCAGGCCTAGTGGCAGGCGCCTGTAGTCCCAGCTACTCAGGAGGCTGAGGCAGGAGAATGGCATGAACCCAGGAGGTGGAGCTTGCAGCGAGCCGAGATCATGCCACTGCACTGCAGCCTGGGTGACAGAGCAAGACTCCATCTCAAAAAAAAAAAAATCTAGAAATGAGCAGCCAGGGGTGCAGACGCTCAGCCTTTGCTTTGGAACAATGACTAATTCCTGTTTCTGCCAGGAGGAGGGACACAAGGGAACCCACACGTTTTCTTGGAGTCACAGGAAGAGGGGACTCTCAACTTCGAGAGTCGTTCTCGCTTCCCCTTTCCTCATTCACTCATATCCAATAGACATTGGTTGCAGGTCTGTGCTCTGCCACACTCTGGGAATAAATACCAAGATGAGTTATCTGGGGCCTCCAGGCTCATGGGGTATGGGGCAGTCATGCCAGGACACGGTTACAACCCAGTGTGAAGGTGCTGGACCCTAGAGACGCCCAGGCTCCATGTGAGCACATCAAAGCAGAGCCTAAACCAAGATAGGGGTTGAGCAGTTGGAGTCAGGGAAGAGTGCCTGGAGCAGTGACCCTAACACTTACATCCATTCAGCTAGTACTGATTATCATGTGTGCGACACTGCTCTGAGTGCTGAAATACGGCATAGGGAAAAGACCCACTAATGGATAGAGGAGTATGACACAGAGTCCTCCAGGGCCCGGGGAGGTGTATATATAGTTTTTAAAAATAAAATATATGACATATATTTCATTTAAAATATTCTTTATATATTGTAATGATATAAATATAAAATATATATTTTATAAAACTTATATATTGAAATGTGTGTGTGTGTATACTTTTTTTTTTTAGGGAAGGGGTCTTGCTTTGTTCCCCAGGGTGGAGTGCAGTAGCGTGATCACAACTCACTGCAGCCTTGAGCTCCTGGGCTGAAGCGATCCTGCTGCCTCAGCCTCCTGAGTAGCTGGGACTACAGGTATGTGCCACCATGCCTGGATAATTGTTTAGTTTTTTGTAGAGATGAGTCTTACTATGTTGCCTAGGCTGGCCTCGAACTCCAAGGCTCAAGATATCCCCCCAAGCCTTGGTCTCCCAAAGTGCTGAGATTACAGGCACAAGTTGGTGATTTTTATGCTGAGACCCTAATGATAAGATGGAAGGAAATGCTTTTCTTTTTTTTTTTTTTTTTCCTTCTTTTTTGAGACAAAATCTCACTCTATTGCCCAGGCTGGAGTGCAGTGGCACGATCTTGGCTCATTGCAACCTCCATTTCCCCGGTTCAAGCGATTCTCCTGCCTCAGCCTCCCGAGTAGCTGGGATTGCAGGCGTGTGCCACCATGCCCAGCTAATTTTTGTATTTTTAGTAGAGACAGGGTTTCACCATGTTGGCCAGGCTGGTCTGGAACTCCTGGCCTCAAGTGATCCACCCAACTCAGCCTCCCAAAGTGCTGGGATTACAGGCGTGAGCCCCACGCCCAGCCTAGATTTGTGTTTTAAAGTGGTCACCCGAGCTGCATGGTCAGCCCAGGGAGTGGGGAGGAGGAAGAGTGCTTGAAGGAGGCAGCATGTGAACAGGTCCTGGGAGAGGTGGCCCCAGCGATGCAAAGCCATTCTGTGTGGCCATTCTGGGAGCATAGCATCAGGTGGAATGGAGAGAGGCAAGGCCGGAGACTCTGGCCAGGACAAGACCAACAAGATTCTCCCATGCCACACCAAGGTTCTCATGTGCCACTCCACACATACCATGCCAAGCATAATGGCATCAGCTGGAGGCCTTGAAGCAGGACTGACATGATCACTATTTACTAAACTCACTGGATGGTTTTTTTGTGTGTGTGGACCCCTCCAATATTGTTCAGGCTGGTCTTAAAATCCTTGGCTCAAGCAATCCTCCCAGTTTGATCTTCCAAAGTGCTGGGATTACAGGCGTAAGCCACCATTCCTGGCCTTGATGGCTTTTCTATTGCGGGTAGTGTTGAGGCAATGAATTCCCCTAATAACAAGGACCAAGTGTGTGGAATAAATTCTATGTTTAAAGATCCAAATTTTACACTGTTTTTCAGAGTTACTAAAATGTATTAACATTCTTCACATTCTTCCACATGAAGCAATGGTTTTCTCATTCTCCAGAGCTCAATGGGTAAAGGAGAGAAGCTGATTATTCCAACTTAGGGTGTATGGATATAAAATATAGACTTATGTCAGAAATAAAGATTTACATCAGAAATACACTAGTGCTTTAAGAAGAAATGCAGTATTTCATAAGGATGTAGGTTCTAGGGTCAACATGGCATCCACCTCGCCAGCTGTGTGACATGTGGGTCAAGTTGCTTACCTCTCTAGTTTCAGTTTTCCCATCTATAAAATGGGAGCCAATACGATACTCACTTTATGGGGTAGTTATAAGGCTTATGCAAGTGATATAAGTTAAGGGCCTAGACCAGAACCAGGCCCAGAGTAAGCACCAATATGTGATTACTATCGTTATTTTTATTTTTTATTTATTTATTTTTGAGACAGAGTCTCACACTGCTGCCCAGGCTGGAGTGCAGTGGCTCACTGCAACCTCTCCTTCCCGGGTTCAAGTGATTCTCCTGCCTCAGCCTACTGAGCAGCTGGGATTACAGGCAGGCACCACCACACCTGGCTAAGTTTTGTATTTTTAGTAGAGACAGGGTTTCACCATGTTGGCCAGGCTGGTCTCGAACTCCTGACCTCAGGTGATCCATGCACCTTGCCCTCCCAAACTGCTGGGGTTACAGACGTGAGCCACCATGCCCAGCCACTATCATTATTTTATTGTCTTTGCAATTTACTTTCTTACTGCATTTCACACTACTGATCACTCACTTCCTTCTTAAACTTCCTTCCTTTGGCTTCTATAACTCTGGACTGCTCTGGTTTTCCTTCTTTGTTCCTTTCTAGATTGTTTTACTGCTTCCTCTTCATCCTCTCACCCTCTAGGAGTTCCTTGAGGCTCTAGCCTCTACTCTTTCTCAGCAGTTCCTCCACCCATGTGGGTGCTCTGTGCAGATGAATCCCAGGCTAATCTCTTCGCTTCCAACCTCCCTGCCGAGCATGACACCCACGCTTCCAAACTTGCTGCCCACCCGATGTCACAGGGTCCTCTCAGGTTCAGTGGGGCCAAACTGCTCACTATCTTCCCCAAACCATTTTCTTCCGAAGTTCTCTTTGTTAGCACAGTCGCCCGTTTACCCAGACTAGAGTCCCCAGCCACTCTCCCTCTCTCTTGCTCGCTCTCCACACCCAGCTGATCAACAAAGCCTGGGCCTTGTCATTTCCCCCACGTCTTTAGAATATGTCCCCTCCTTTCCTTTTCCATGGCTACCATCCTAGTTACAGCTGTCATTCACCTTAACTGTTGCAAGCATCTCAAAATGGTCTCCTTGCCTTTGAAATTTATTTATTATCTCAATTTATCGCAAGCCCCAAGCACAATCTTTAATCTGGCTTTGTGCTGCTCACAGTAAAAAGACACCATTTAGGCTTGAGTTTTCTCAACTCTCCACCTCATCAAGCCTACTCCTACTACAATCTCTCTACATCTACATTTACCCTTGGTTCTTCTCCAGTCTGACCTGATCCCCTCATCTGTACCCCACATTCTAATCCTTTCATCTCCACTCCAGACTCTATTTATCTCATCTGCACTTCTCTCCCTGCATACAGCCACCAAGTTCTGATTCCCATGGTCAGTACACAGGTTCATTGCCAGAAACTAAGGGATTCTCATTAGGGCTGAACAATATGCACCAGCTACCAATGCCAGCTGGTCTCCAGATCTTCATCGAGCATGTAAAAGATAACCAGGGACAGGACGGTGGCTCACGCCTATAATCCCAGCACTTTGGGAGGCTGAGGTGGGTAGATCATATGAGGTCAGGAGTTCGAGACCAACCTGGCCAATATGATGAAACTCCATTTCTACTAAAATAGCTCAATTGAAAAATGAACTAAGGATTTGAACATACGTTTCTCCAAAAAAGATACACAAATAACCAATAAGTACATGAAAAGATGCTCACCATTATTAGTGAATAGGGAAATGCAAATCAAAACCACAGTGAGATCCACTTCACACCCAGTAGGATTGCTGTAGTGAAAAAAAAATGAAAATAACAAGTGCTGGAGAGAATGTGGAGGAATTGGAACCCCACTACATTGATGGTAGGAATGTAAAATGGTGCAGCTGCTTTGAAAAAGTTGGGTAGCTCCTCAAAATGTTAAATATGGAGTTAACACATGGCCCATCAGTTCAAGTCTTAGGAAAATAAAAACATGTATTCATACAAAAAGTTGTGCATGAATGTTCACAGCAGCATTATTCATAATAGTCAGAAAGTGAAAGCAACCCAAATACCCACCAATTGATGAATGGATAAACAAAATATGGTCTATCCATACAAGAGGATATTATTTAGCAGTAGAAAATAAAGTGCTGGGCCGGGCGTGGTGCCTCATGCCTGTAATCCCAGCACTTTGGGAGGCCGAGGCAGGTGGATCGCTTGAGGTCAGGAGTTCAAGAACAGCCTGGCCAACATGGTGAAACCCAGTGTCTACTAAAAATACAAAAATCAGCCAGGCATTGGGAGGCTGAGACAGGAGAATTGCTTGAACCTGGGAGGTGGAGGTTGCAGTGAGCCAAGATCGCGCCACTGCACTCCAGCCTGGGCAACAGAGTGAGACTCCGTCTCAGGAAAAAAAAAAAGAAGAAAGAAAGAAAAGAAAGTGCTGGTATGTTACAACAAGGATGAACCTTGCAAACATTATGCTAAGTGAAAGAAGTTAGTCACAATAGACCATATATTTACGATGCTTTTTTTTCTTTTTTTTGAGAGAGGGTCTCACTCTGTCACCCAGGCTGGAGTGCAGTGGTGCAGTCTCAGCTCACTGCAGCCATAACCTCCCTGGGCTCAAGCTATCCGCCCACCACAGCCTCCCAAGTAACTGGAACCACAGATACATGCCACCATGCCCGGCTAATTTTTGTATCTGAGATGGAGTTTCGCCATGTTGCCCAGGCTGATCTCAAACTCCTGGGCTCCAATGATCCCCCTGCCTCAGCCTCCCAATGTGCTGGGATGACAGGCATGAGCCACTGTGCCCAGCTACTATGACACTTTTTATTTGAAATGTTCAGAAGTTCAGAATAGACAAATCTAGAAACAGAAATAAGATTAGAAACAGAAATTAGATTAGTGACGGGCTGAAGAGGGTAGGGGAAATGGGGACTGATAACTAATGAAAATAGAGTTTATTTTGGGAATGATGAAAATGTTCTAAAAGTGATTGTGGTGGGTGGTGGAGGTTGCACAAGAAACAAATTACAGTTGTTGCTTCTGGGAAGGGGAACTTGACAACTGGGGGCCAGAAGTGTCTATATATATAGACTTGTGTGTGTGTGTGTGTGTGTGTATATATATATACACACACACACAAAAAAGTGGGTAAGTATATATAAGTATATATATACACACACACATAAACATATATATATATATATGCGCCCTGGGTGCTTATTTAATTTTGTATCATGCGTATATATAACCTATTCACTAACAAATAAATAAAATAATATTTTACAAAGAAACTGCATTTGGAGCCAGGAGTGATGGCTAATGCCTGTAATCCCAGCACTTTGGGAGGCTGAGGCGGGCAGATCTCTTGAGCCAGGAGTTCGAGATCATCCTGAGCAACATGGCGAAAACTCACCTCTACAAAAAATACAAAAGTTAGCCAGGCTTGGTGGTGCACATCTGTGGTCGCAGCTACTCAGAGGCTGAGATGGGAGGATCGCTTGAACCTGAGAGGTCTAGGTTGCAGTGAGGCTGTAACATGACAGAGTGAGACCCCATCTCAAAAAAATAAAACATAAAAAAGGAAATTGCATTTGGAATCACAAGAGTCATAACCACAGATTCAAAAGAAATTCAAAAAGTATTAGAGAACAATATATTTTCATGAATACATATGTAGCTCTAGATGAAAAAGGTAATTTTTAGGACAATAAAATGTCAAAAATTGACCTTGAAAAGGATAGAAAACCAGACCAGGCTAATGGTTAGATGAAAAACTGAAAAGATAGCCAAAATTATATTCCCTCTCCCACAAAAAAGAACATCAAGGGCAGAAGCGTTTTACTGGTGACTTCCAATTCTTCAAAGAGCAGGTACTTCTTATAAACTGTTTCCAGAAACAGGAAAATAACCAGGGCTCCTTCACTCATTTAATAGGAATAAATATCAGTGTATACAAATTGGAGGATAACAAAATGGAAGAAAGAAAGGAAGGAAGGAGAGAGAGGGAGGGAGGAGACAGCAGAAGCATCGCTCCAGTTTGGTTTGACCCGTGCTGTCGTCTCTATGTATCTTTCTTTTCTTTTAATGGAACAGAGTCTTCGCTCTTGTCCCCAGGCTGGAGTGCAGTGGTGCAGTCTTGGCTCACCACAACTTCCACTTCCCGGGTTCAAGCAATTCTCCTGCCTCAGCCTACCAAGTAGGGCACGGTGGCTCACACCTGTAATCCCAGCACTTTGAGAGGCCGAGGCAGGCGGATCACCTGAGGTCAGGAGTTTGACACCAGCCTGGCAAACATGGCGAAATCCCGTCTCCACTAAAAATACAAAAATTAGCCAGGCGTGGTGGCGGGCGCCTGTAATCCCAGCTGCTCGGGAGGCTGAGGTGAGAGAATCGCTTGCACCTGGAAGGTGGAGGTTGCAGTGAGCGGAGATGGCGCCATTGCACTCCAGCCTGTGCAACAAAAGCAAAACTCCATCTTAAAAATAAAAATAAGAAGAAAATAGAATAAAAAGCCAAAGATATGAATGGGCAAGTGTAGACAGACAGATAGATAGACAGATAGATAGATAGATAGATAGATGACAGACATTCAAAGAAACTCACATTCAATAATATTGAAGGAAGCAAAAATTTAAACAAAAATGAGAAATCATTTTTACCCATCAGATTGACAAAACTTTTAAAACTTATAATAATCAGCCTGTAAGGGTTTGGGAAAATAGATACTTACTTTTGTCCTCATGGGTATTCAAATTGATACAACATTTTATGGAACAATTTGAAGATACTTATTAAAAATTTAAAAGTGCATATATTTGAACTCCAGCAAATCCACTTCTCTATGTCTATCCAGGAGAAATACTGGGAAATGTATTCAGATGACCATGGTGTTTTCTATTGCTACATAACAAATTACCACAAAATAGCTTCAAACAACACAAAATCGCTGTCTCACAGCTTCTCAGGATTAAGAGTCAGGTGCAGCTTAGTTGAGTCCTCCAGTCAGAATCTCACCAGATTTAAGTCAAGGTGTCAGCCCATTGTGTCTTTTTTTAACTTTTTTACTTTAATTTTTTTCTTTTTAGAGACGAGGTCTTGCTTTGTTGCCCAGGCTTGTCTCAAACCCCTGGGCTCAAGCAATCCTCCTGACTCAGCCTCCCAAAGTGCTGGGATTATAGGTGTGCCCCACTATGCCCCACTAGCCCAGCGCATTTTTTTTCTATTTTTTTATTTAGATGGAGTCTCACTCTGTCACCCAGGCTGGAGTGCAGTGGCATGATCTTGGCTCACTGCAACCTCCGCCTCCCGGGTTCAAGCAATTCTTCTGCCTCAGCCTCCTGAGTAGCTGGGATTTACAGGCACCCACTACCACGTCCAGCTAATTTTTGTATTTTTTTAGTAAAGACGGGGTTTCACCCTGTTGGCCAGGCTGGTCTCAAACTCCTGGCTTCAAGTGATCCACCCACCTCGGCCTCCCAAAGTGTTGGGATTACAGGCGTAAGCCACTGCACTCGGCCCTTTTTTTCTTTTTTTTAGAGACACAGTGTCCCTCTGTTGCCCAGGCTGGAGTGCAGCAAGAGTGAAACACTGTGCCAGCCAGCCCAGTGTGTTTTCCTCTGAAGGCTCAGCAAGGGAAAGATTTGGTTCTGAGCTCCCTCAGGTTGTTGGCAGAATTCATTTTTTCAAGGTTATGTGGGGTCCCCATTTTCCTACTAGCTGTCAGAGAGGGCCCACTCTCAGCAACTAGAGGTCCTGGGAAGGATCACATGACCTGGCCTCATAACTCCCTTCCTTATGCCCCTCACACTTCCAAATCTCTCCCTTCAGAGATCCCCTTTTAAGAGATCCCCTGATGAGGCCAGATCCACCTAGGATAATCCAAGTTGATCAACCTAATCACAGGGTTGTATCCCATCCGGTTTCAGTGTCCTGCCCACACTCAAGGAGAAGGGATGACACAGAGAAGGGGCAACAAGATGGGTGAGACACTCAGGGCAATCGCAGAACTCTGGCTGGGCATGGTGGCTCACATTTATAATCCTAGCACTTTGGAAGACCAGGATGGGAGGACTGCTTGAGCCCAGGAGTTTGAGACAAGCCTGGGCAACATAGCAAAACCCCATCTCTACAAAAAATACAAAAATTAGCCAGGAATGGTGGCGTGCACCTGTAGTCCCAGCTACACAGGAGACTGAGGTGGGAGGATCGCCTGATCCCAGGAGGTTGAGGCTGCAGTGAGCCAAGATTGCACCACTGCACTCCAGCCTGGGCAACAGAGTGAGACCCTTTTATTTTATTATTTTATTTTTTTTTTTTTTGAGACGGAGTGTCACTCTGTCTCCAAGGCTGGAGTGTAGTGGCACAATCTCGGCTCACTGCAACCTCCACCTCCCGGTTCAAGTGATTCTCCTGCCTCAGACTCCCAAGTAGCTGGGATTACAGGCGTGTGCCACCATGCCTGTCTAATTTTTGTATTTTTAGTAGAGATGGGGTTTCACCATGTTGGCTAGACTGGTCTTGAACTCCTGATGTCAGGTGATCCACCAGCTTCAGCCTCCCACAGTGCTGGGATTACAGGTATGAGCCACTGTGCCCGGCCAAGACCCTTTTTTTAAAATCTCAGAATTCTGCCTGCCACCGCCCATATTAAAGGATGCTCCTGCCAGTAGAGAGCTGGTAAGGATGAAAAACTGGAAACAATGTAGAAATGGTTAAATACATTGTGAATGCTTATATAGACTATGTACATCTATACTATGGAATATTGGACTGAGTTGTAAAATTGAACGAAATAGATCAAGATGACATAATAACTAGCACAAAAAAGGCAAGTTTCAGAATAATATATACAGTGGGATCCCGTGTATGTATTAACAAATAAATGCTAGCTTCCTGTCTCTACCTTTGTCCTCTGAAATCCTCTATTCTGCTGCCAGAGAGGCCTTTTCAAAATTCAGATCTGATCAGGCCACCAGCCTCTGCACCCACCCTGCCCCCCCGCAGGCTTAAAATCCAACCTTGGATTCCCGTCATTCTTAGGATAAAGCCTAACAGGTCTTTATCCTGGCCTGGGATGCGGCCCTAGCTGGTCCCTGCTGCCCCGAGCTCCAGCCACAGCTCTCTGGGTCCACAGTTCTCCCTCTACCACTGAGCCTTACCAGCAACTTCTCTGCTGAAATGCTCTCTAGTCACCCCCCTTTCACCAGGCCAACTTGATTCATGCTTTCAATCTCAATTCTAGCTGGGCACAGTGGCTCACACCTCTAATCCCCAACATTTTGGGAGGCTGAGGCTGGAGGATAACTTAAGGCCGGTATTCAAGACCAGCCTGGGTAACATAGTAGGACCCTGTCTCTTGAAAAAAAAAAAAAGAAGAAGAGGAAGAGGAAGAAGAAGAAGAAAGAAGAAGAAGAAGAAGAAGAAGAAGAAGAAGAAGAAGAAGAAGAAGAAGAAGAAGAAGAAGAAAAGAAAGAAAACAAAATCTCAATTCAAATGACACTCTCCTATCTCAAATCCCATCTGCCCACAGACCAGCCAGATAGCCTGTCACAAGCTCTACCCATGCTCCCTCGCCACTCCCACAGTTAGTAAGGCTTCATTTATGTGTGTGTGGATCAGATCAGATCATTTATCTGATCCATATCTGTCTTCCCCAAACGACCTTAACCTCCACAAGGACGGGACCTTATCTGGCTTTGCATACCATTGTGCCTCCAGTGCCTGCTACACTATCTGGCAAGAAGCAGGGGCTCAGTCAGTATTTGTTCATGACGCTGGCTCTCCTGTCCCTTTCTCCTCAGATTTTGCACACCTTGCCCAGGCACATTCACATCTCTGGGCCTGGGCATGTCATTTCGTCCTTCTGGAAGGCCTTGCCACTTTTGAATTGCCTGGCAAACTGCTACTCATTTTGTAAAGCCCAGTTGAAATGGCCCCTCTTGAAGCCAAGATAAAATCAAAAAAGAGAGGCCAGGTGTGGTGGCTCATGCCTGTAATCCCAGCACTTTGGGAGGCTGAGGCAGGTGGATCATGAGGTCAGGAGTTCAAGACCAGCCTGGCCAACATGGTGAAACCCCATCTCTACTAAAAATACAAAAATTAGCTGGGCGTGGTGGAACGTGCCCATAATCCCAGCTACTTGGGAGGCGGAGGCAGGAGAATCGCTTGAACCCAGGAGGCAGAGGTTGCAGTGAGCTGAGACCGCACCATTGCACTCCAGCCTGGTGACAGAACAAGACTCTATCTCCAAAAATAAAAATCAAGAAGGAGAATGCCAAAATGTGAATAATGAAGGGTGAGATCACAAGTGATATTTATTTCTGTTTTACACTTCCTAAATGTTTTGCAATGAGTGGCTATTACTTTCATAATTATAAAAAGTAAAATAGATTCCATTCCAAGATGGTCGAATAGGAAGACCTCCGATCTGCAGCTCCCAGCATGATCGACACAGAAGATAGTGATTTCTGCATTTCCAACTGAGGTACCTGGTTCATCTCATTGGGACTGGTTGGACAGCGTGTGCAGCCCACGGAGGGCAAGCTGAAGCAGGGCAGGGCATCACCTCACCCGGGAAGCACAAGGGGTCAAGGGATTTCCCTTTCCTAGCCAAAGGAAGCCGTGACAGACTGTACCTGGAAAATCGGGACACTCCTGTCCAAATACTGTGCTTTTCCAACGGTCTTAGCAAACGGCACACCAGGAGATTATATTCCGCACCTGGCTTGGCAGGTCCTATGCCCACGGAGCCTTGCTCACTGCTAGCGCAGTGGTCTGAGATCGACCTGCGAGGCAGCAGCCTGGCAGGGGAGTGGCGTCCACCATTGCTGAGGCTTGAGTAGGTAAACAAAGTGGCCGGGGAAGGTCAAACTGGGCAGAGCCCACTGCAGCTCAGCAAGGCCTACTGCCTCTGTAGACCCCGCCTCTGGGGGCATGGCATAGCTGAACAAAAGGCAGCAGACAACTTCTGCAGACTTAAACGTCCCTGACTGACAGCTCTGAAGAGAGCAGTGGTTCTCCCAGCACGTGTTTGAGCTCCGAGAATGGACAGACTGCCTCCTCAAGTGGATCCCTGACCCCTGTATAGCCTAACTGGGAGACACCTCCCAGTAGGGGCCAACTGACACTTCATACAGGTGGTGCCCCTCTGGGACGAAGCTTCCAGAGGAAGGATCAGGCAGCAATATTTGCTGTTCTGCAGCCTCCACTGTTGATACCCAGGCAAACAGTGTCTGGAGTGGACCTCCAGAAAACTCCAACAGACCTGCAGCTGAGGGACCTGTTAGAAGGAAAACTAACAAACAGAAAGGAATAGCATCAACATCAACAAAAAGGACATCCACGGCAAACCCCATCTGCAGGTAACCAGCCTCGAACACCAAAGGTAGATAAAACCACAAAGATGGGGAAACCAGAGCAGAAAAGCTGAAAATTCTAAAAACCAGAGTGCCACTTCTCCTCCAAAGGATTGCAGCTCCCCACCAGCAATGGAACAAAGCTGGACAGAGAAGCGGATAGAAGTAGGCTTCAGCAGGTCGGTAATAACAAACTTCTCCGAGCTAAAGGAGGATGTTCTAACCCATCACAAGGAAGCTAAAAACCTTGAAAAAAGATTAGACAAATGGCTAACTAGAATAAACAGTGTAGAGAAGACCTTAAATGACCTGATGGAGCTGAAATCCATGGCACGAGAACTACGTGACGTGTACACAAGCTTCAGTAGCCAATTTGATCAAGTGAGAGAAAGGGTATCAGTGATTGAAGATCAAATTAATGAAATGAAGTCAGAAGAGAAGTTTGGAGAAAAAAGCATAAAAAGAAATGAACAAAGCCTCCAAGAAATATGGGACTATGTGAAGAGACCAAATCTACATTTGATTGGTGTACCTGAAAGTGATGGGGAGAATGGAACCAAGTTGGAAAACACTCTTCAAGATATTATCCAGGAGAACTTCCCCAACCTAGAAAGGCAGGCCAACATTCGAATTCAGGAAATACAGAGAACACCACAAAGATACTCCTCAAGAAGAGCAACCCCATGGCACATAATTGTCAGATTCACCAAGGTCGAAATGAAGGAAAAAATGTTAAGAGCAGCCAGAAAGAAAGGTCAGGTTACCCACAAAGGGAAGCCCATCAGACTAAGAGTGGATCTCTCAGCAGAAATTCTACAAGTCAGAAGAGAGTGGAGGCCTATATTCAACATTCTTAAAGAAAAGAATTTTCAACCCAGAATTTCATATCCAGCCAAACAAAGCTTCATAAGTGAAGGAGAAACAAAATCCTTTACAGACAAGCAAATGCTGAGAGATTTTGTCACCACCAGGCCTGCCTTACAAGAGCTCCTGAAGGAAGCACTAAACATGAAAAGGAACAACCGGTATCAGCCACTGCAAAAACATGCCAAATTATAAAGACCATCGATGCTAGGAAGAAACTGCATCAACTAACGAGCAAAATAACCAGCTAACATCATAATGACAGGATCAAATTCACACATAACAATATTAACCTTAAATGTAAATGGGCTAAATGCTCCAATTAAAAGACACAGACTGGCAAATTGAATAAAGAGTCAAGACCCATCAGCATGCTGTATTCAGGAGACCCATCTCACATGCAGAGACACATATAGGCTCAAAATAAAGGGAGGGAGGAAGAGCTACAAAGCAAATGGAAAGCAAAACAAAGCAGGGGTTGCAGTCCTGTTCTCTGATAAAACAGACTTTAAACCAACAAAGATCAAAAGAGACAAGGAAGACCATTACATAATGGTAAAGGGATCAATTCAACAAGAAGAGCTAACTATCCTAAATACATATGCACCCAATACAGGAGTACCCAGATTCATAAAGCAAATCCTTAGAGACCTACAAAGAGACTTAGACTCCCACACAATAATAATGGGAGACTTTAACACCCCACCCCACTGTCAATATTAGACAGATCAACGAGAAAGAAGGTTAACAAGGATATCCAGGACCTGAACTCAGCTCTGCACCAAGCAGACCTAATAGACATCTACAGAACTCTCCACCCCAAATCAACAGAAAATACATTCTTCTCAGCACCACATTGCACTTATTCCAAAATTGACCACATAGTTGGAAGTAAAGCACTCCTCAGCAAATGTAAAAGAACAGAAATCACAACAAACTGTCTCTCAGACCACAGTGCAATCAAATTAGAACTCAGGATTAAGAAACTCACTCAAAACTGCACAAC